>NC_000005.10:20004790-20307820 GCF_000001405.40 Homo sapiens
AGAAACATCACATGAATATAAAGAGGAATAGTGGGTGTGTCAAATTCCACTATCTATCTACAAGGAGTTCCAAATAACAGAGAAAATAAAAAGTAAATTTGAAGACCCAATAAAATGAGTTGAGGAACAGTGGGTGTGTCAAATTCCACTATCTATCTACAAGGAGTTCCAAATAACAGAAAAAATAGAAAGTAAATTTGAAGAGCCAATAAAGTGAGTTAAGAATCCCTGTGATTGAGGGAAGACACAAGTCTTTCTTCATCACTGAAATAACCACAAAATTCTAAAAGGGAATAATAGGAAAATACGTATACATTTCTGGAGAAATTTGAAAATGCCAGAACTAAAGACAAATTCTAATGAAGTCTATATAGAAACAAAAATAAATAAAGCAGATTATCTACTGAGAAATAAACATCCGAATGACACTAGATATCTCACCAGTGGCACTGAATACTAGAAGACAGCGCAGAGCCTAATCTGAACAGATGCTTGAATCTGGCATTTACTGCATAACTTGCCATATTATCCAATCAAAAATAATGGCAAAATAAGTATATTTGAACATGAAAACTTCAGGAATTTAGTCCACATTTATATATAAACAAAGTATATATATATATGTACACACACACACACACACACACACACACACACACTTTCCATGAATTGATAAATTGATTCTTATGATTAAATAAGTTTGAGAAATGACCATTAGACATTAAACTTAGGAGACTGTTCTTTGTCAACAATTTCTATATATATATACACATATCTACACACATGCATACATATACACACACATACATATACATATACATATGCATACACACACATATATATATAATTTTCAAGTTATTTAAGATGGTTAATAACCAAATGAGAAAGAATGAAACATAAGTAAACAAAAGAAAGACACTGATGCAAACAATACTGGTAAGAATATAGATTCATACAAAAGAATCATTAGGTTAATTTTGCCTAATTATAAAACTAATTTTGGATCTTCTTAGACCAACTAAATTAGCTTCTTCAGTAAAGATGTCTAAACATCTGGATATTTAACTACGTTTCATGGATTGATTTCTATGATTAGACGTGTTTGGAGAACGACCATTAGCACTTGACATTTGGAGATTGTCCTTTGAGTAACAATTTGAAAGAGATAGAATTCCTTATGGGCATTAACATATTTATTGAATTTCCTTTTGATAAAGTCAGAAAATAAGAGAACAACTAGGTGTTCAAATCAATATTAAATTCAATAACATATAACACACTACATAATATGTCACAAGATTGAAAAGGCAAGATGGAAGGGGGTAAGTATATAGATTTCATTATTTTTGTTAAAAGTACGGCATCAACAGATAACAACTTGATTGGAGAAATCAAAGAGAAATTTTTTTAACCATAAAGGCATAGACTAGAAGAATTAGAGATGGCAAGCAGAAAGGTTTGGGAGGAAATAGATCATTTATGTGTGTTAAATTTATTTTCCACAGAAGTAGGGAGTTAATAGATAAATAATTTTTTCACACGTTATGAGAATAATAAAATTATTTACAATAATATTTTCTACCAAAAGAATTTAAAATAGGAATTACTTTAGGGAATGGAGCTTGAAGGAAAAACTTTTCTTCTCATTTAAATATTTGGAACTGTTAGAATTTTTAAACTACGAGGATATCTACAATGTCTACAATAACAGCAACCAAGATGCTCATTAAAATGATAATTAGAAACAAATAAGTGTTAGTGCTCAGACTGATGAAATATGAACTTGCTTTTGATTTTCCGGTTTTCTACTTCTCCCTGTTTCCATATATTCCTAAATTAGCACATGGCATTTTATAATTAGAAACTACATTTTGTAGTTGTTTGGATTAATCATTACCATTATTATAAAGATATAATGTTGTTTTAAACATATGTCATGAAACACAGTACTTAGCTTCTCTATGCATGTTAAATGTGTTTAATACATTAATTTTATAAAATATGTTAAAAATCTAATGAAACATTAAAATATACAAAACAGTTCCTTTCAAAATCACAACAAAAATTTCTTATAACATTAGTTAACTTAGAGGGAAATATGCATTTATAAGACAAAAGTGATACATCTCTTTTTTAATGAGAAAATTAAATAGGTCAATTTTCATGTAAATATTTTAAGAACTTTACACAACCACAACCAAATATTGAGTTAAATTTTTTTAGGTTGGCTATGATGTAAATTTCATTTCAAAATTGATTCACTGGAAGTACCAAGACACTTTTGAGTAAGAGAAGTCATACTAAAGTAAATAATAAATATCAAATACGCTTTGAATATAATTTAAAAAATATAGATTATATATAAGTAAAGAAATAATTCAGTGCAACTGAAAACAATCCAGATTAGATAACAAATGGTGAAAAGATTTAATATATTACCAAGTGCATTTCAAATTCCAAAGGAAAATGATGGATTATTCAATTGATTATAGAGACTCAACTGGCTAACCATCTGGAATAAAGATGCTGATCTGACACGTAGCAAAAATGCATTCCACAAGTAAATACATAAAGAATGTTGACTTAGGCATCATTCCACAAAAATACAGTGCTGAGTTGATTCATGCTTGAAAAAAATTGTTGAATAAATATATAATTTTGAGAAAAAAGAATACATAAAAATACCAAGAAACTATTACAGTTAAATGTCCATGAAATCTTTGAATACGAAAGGAATTTTTAAGCATGACTCAAAATATAGAAATGATGGATTGCTCATGGAAGAAAGAAAGTGTGAATAGTGCAGAATTAGCAAGAGAGAGAGTAGCGGGAGTTGAAATCAGAGATGTTTATTTAATAGTTTGAAGTGCAGTGTGTGGAAAGTGTGTGTGTGTGTGTGTGTGTGTGTGTGTGTGTGTGTGTGTGTCATAAGTCATTGGGCCTGCCACTTGTTTTTGTATGGTATGTGAACTAAGAATGTTTTTACATTTTTTAAATGGTTAAGAAAAATCAAAATAAGACTAGTGAAATATGAAGATTATATAAAATTCAAATTTCAGTGTCCATAAATAAAGATTTACTGGAACACAGTCAGGCCCACTTGATTATAGTCTGCGGCTGCTTCATGCTACAACAGCAGAATTGAGTAGTTTTGACAGAGACCATATGGCCTGCAAAGCTCAAAACATTTACTATCTGGCTCTTTACAGAAAAATTTGGCTGACCCCTGGTATAGACATATTCTGGGAGTTTCTCAATATGTAGCCTATCACATCAATTCACTAGGCCAACCTCGATCAATTTTTGTTCATAAATATTATTCTAAACTTAATATGACTTCTGCATATACATCTTGTGTGTGTAGAGATGTGTCTATGTGTGATGGCAATGCACAGTTTGCTTTGGGAATTATATAATATGAATGTTATTATGTTTGAGAATATAAAAAAAACATATACATGTAGAAACCAGTAGTACCATGCTTTTGAGATACATAATCACTCATGTTTGCTATTTTGGGGCTGCACTGAATTTCTGAGAACAAACCTTTATTTTCCGTTTTAATTAAACTAAACATTTAATTACATTTCCACTATTCTGTCAGCAGAAACAAATCTATAAATGTGGAGTGAAAAATTATGAGAGCTGGTCTTTAATATCTCATCACAAACAGAGCATGTTATGGGCAATCTGTTCTTTGAGGGTGTATAACAACCGTGTTTCCCACGAAAGTTAATGCTAATAAAGCATTCAAATACAGTACAGAACTTTTCATTTTTAGCTAATAGCTATCTGGTAAAGGCCAAGATGTTGAAAATATATGCCATGTTTACAATGATTCCCATGACCCTTAGGGTTTTAGTTTCCAGCACAAGATAATTCAATAAGTGAAGGGATAGTGCAGATTAAACACAAGTTTGCTGCCAAGCAATTTATGCCCGGCCTATGCTCAAATGTACACCAATAAAACTATACAAACATTTAGAATTCTAATTTTATTATAAGTAGCCAATATGTCTAGAGCAATTTGCCAGGTGCAATGAAAAATTAAAGGTACCTGCCCACAAAGTTGTTACAGCGATACATGAGAAGCAGACTTGTAAAGGTGAAAATGGAAATAAGGAAAAGCTCCTATCTAATGAGAGACGTTAGTCAAGAGGAATAGAATCATTTCCTCCCATCAGCTTTCCTGGTGGGCTATGTTATGTACACTCAAATAGGACGCATAAGATGTACTGATTTTATACATCTGTATTGTGAGCTTGGTTAATGGCAGTTCGGTCTAAAGAGATGAACTTGTTCTTACTTGATAATAGAATGAAATTTCTGGGTATACAGGACGAAGGACAAACTCTGGAATCCAGCAAATACACTTCAGTATACCTCCCCCCAAGGAAAGCCGATGGGAGAAAATGATTCTATTTCTCTGGACTTACATCTCTGATTAGATATGAGCTTTTCTTTGTTTCCATTTTCACATTGACCGGTCTACATCTCATGTATCATTATAACAATTTTGCTGGCAGATACATAATACATACATGATAGTGTATTCTGGAAGATGCATTCTAAAATATAATAAATGTAATAAATGTACTATGTTTGCAGTATTTCAGGGGGTTGAGAACTGTACTCTCTCTTTATGTCTGGATTTATCTTAATTTTGATCAATCAGGTAGTCATTGAATATTAACTATCAGAGTATAATCTTTATACATCAGGGATGTAGAACATCACTGGTGATCAGTTTAACTGGTGGCGAGTTAATCTATATAGAGAACTTTAAATGCTAAGGAGACCAATATACGAAGTTTTCACAATAGTGTATTATGTCAACCAGCTAAATAAAAAGTCAAATAATTATTGTAAAAGAGGTTCATGATAACAGGAGAGCAAGGGAAGGTGGTAATACTTAAATATTTAATGGAATCAGACTAGGAGAACTCAATTCATCTTTCCTCAAAATGTGGTAATATTTGTCCAAGAAAACCCATTTATAGATGAATAATGCCAATAATGCCAGTATTTGCTTCTTGTTCTTTGTTTTCATGCCCCTAATACTCCATTCTGGAAGATACATTCTTTATTTTTAAAATATAATGAATGTGCTATGCTTGCAGTATTTTGGTGGGTTGAGAACTATTTTCTTTCTTTATGTCTGGATTGGCTGTCTTAATTTTGATCCTCAGATTGTCACTGAATATTAACTATGAGAGTATAATCTTATTTATTTTCTTTCTTCTTCTTGCGGGATGCTTTCTTTCCTCTTCTTGGGAGATCTGTCAACGGAGACTCCAGATATTTCCATACATGAATGATGGATTAGTCTATATTATTCTCTCATTTACCACACAACCTAGTGGAAAGTGGTGTGTGTGTGTGTGTGTGTGTGTGTGTGTGTAACCTCTACCATCTTCCATCTCTTAATCTCTTACATCACTCCTTCTTTTTAATTTTTTTTAATTTTTTTGAGACAGAGTCTCCCCTAAGCTGGAGTGCAGTGGCACGATCTTGGTTCAATTGATTCTCCTGCCTCAGCCTCCAGAGTAGCTGGGATTATAGGCATGCACCACCACGCCCCACTATTTTTGTATTTTTAGTAGACACAGGGTTTCACCATGTTGGCCAGGCTGTTCTTGAACTCCTGGCTTCAAGTGATCTGTCCATCTCAGCCTCCCAAAGTTCCGGGATTAGAAGTGTGCACCACCATGCCCAGCCTATGCCTCATATGTCATTCTTTTTTGGCTTCTGTTCCTCTCATTCAATCAAATGAATATCTCATAAAATTTTCTATATCATTCAATCCAATGAGCATTTTCTAATCTTTATCTGATTTGAATTTTCTGTAACATTAACCATACTTTTCTTAAGTTCTGAGACAAAGCATTTTCTTACTTTTACTCCCACCTTTCTGGTTGTGCCTTCTCAAGCTGTTTCCCAGACTTGCTTTTTCTATGTTTACATGTTGGAGTTCTTCATAACTATCTCCTTTGTTTTTTACTGAGTACTCAAATTTAGGCAATCTTGTCAGAGACCAGAATTTCAAACACTTGTCTTATTCCTAAGACTCTCACGTGTATACCTCTAGACAATTGCTTTCCTCTGACTTTTACATCCAACTGACTACTTAAATATCAACTCAGGTTTCTGTAAAGCACCACAAACCTAGAATTCCAGAACTGAAATAATGATCTCTTTATCCCCTGCACGCACACATCATTACATATTATCATTTTGCCTCACAAATAGCGTTTCAATTCCATTTACCACCTTTTATCTCAAACAACTGTTGTTGTCCAACTTGCCATTATCTCTCCCCTAAATCAAAATAATCATTCATTGGAACAGTGGTTTGTAGTTCTTCTTGTAGAGATCTATTGCTTCCCTTGTTAACTGTATTCCTAGGTATATTATTCTATTTGTGGCAATTGTGAATGGGAATTCATTTGTGATTTGTCTCGTTTTGACTGTCACTGGTGTTCAGAAATGCTAGCAATTTTTGCACATTGATTTTATATCCCAATACTTTGCCAAAGTTTCTTATCAGCTTAAGAAGCTTTTGGGCTGAAACAATGGAGTTTTCTACATATGGGATCATGTCATCTGCAAACAGGGATAGTTTGACTTCCTCTCTTCCTATTTGAATGCCCTTTATTTCTTCCTCTTGCCTGATTGCTCTGGCCAGATCTTCCAACACTACGTTGAGTAGGAGTGGTGAGAGAGGGCATCTTTGTCTCATGCCAATTTTCAAGGTGAATGCATCCAGCTTTTGATTATTCAGGATGATATTGGCTGTGGGTTTGTCATACATGGCTCTTATTATTTTAAGGTATGTTCTTTCAGTACCTAGCTTATTGAGAGTTTTTAACATGAGGGGATGTTGAATTTTATCAAAGCCCTTTTCTACATCTATTGAGATAATCATGTGGTTTCAGTTCTGTTTATGTGAGGAATCACAACTGTTGATTGGCATATGTTGACCCAATTTTGCATACCAGGAAGGAAGTCTACCTGATTGTGGTGGATGAGCCCTTTTTGATGAGGGCTGGATTCGTATTGTCAGTATTTTTGCATCAATGTTCATCAAGGATATTGGCCTAAAGTTTTCTTTTCTGTGTTGTATTTCTGCCAGGTTTTGGTATCAGAATAATACTGGGCTCATAGAATGAGTTAGGGAGGAGTCCCTCCTTTTCAATTTTTTGGAATAGTTTCAGTAGGAATGATACCAGCTCTTCTTTGTACATCTGGTGGAATTCAGCTGTCAATCCATCTGGTCCTGGGCTTTTTTTTTGTTTGGAAGACTATAACTGCCTCAATTTCAGAACTCATTATTGGTCTGTTCCATGGTTCAATTTCTTCCTGGTTCAGTCTTGGGAGGGTGTATATATCTAGGAATTTATTCATTTCTTCTAGATTTTCCAGTTTATGTGAATGGTGGTGTTTATAATATTCTCTGTTGGTTGTATTTCTGTGTGGTCCGCCAAAATATCCTTCTTATCATTTCTGATTATGTTTACTTGAATCTTCTCTCTTTTTTCTTTATCAGTTTAGCTAGCAGTCTAGCTATTTTATTATCTTGTTCAAAAAAAAAAAAAAAAAAACACCAGCTCCTGGATTTGTTGATCTTTGAATTTTTTTGTGTCTCTGTCTCCTTCAGTTCAGTAGCATTTCTATACATCAATTTTGTTGAAGCTGAGAGCCAAATAAATAATGCAATCACATTTCCAGTAGCTGCAAGAAGAATAAAACACCTAGGAATAGAGCTAACCAAGGAGGTGAAAGATCTCTACAAAGAGAACTAAATACAAACCACTGCTTAAAGAAATCAGAGATGACACAAACAAATGGAAAAACATTCCATGATCATGCCCATAAGTGATAGACTGGATGAAGAAAATGTGGTACATATATACCATGGAATACTATGCAGCCATATAAAGGAAGGGGATCATGTCCTTTGTAGGGACATGCATGGAGCTAAAGGCAAATATCTTCAGCAAACTAACATAGGAACAGAAAACCAAATTCCACACATTCTCACTTGTAAGTGGGAACTAAATAACAAGAACACACGGACACATAGAGGGGATCTACACACAGTGGGGCCTATCAGAGGGCAGAGGGTAGGAGGAGGGAGAGGAGCAGGAAAAATAACTAATGGATATTAGTTATCTAATATATCTTGGTGATTAAATAATCTGTATGACAAACCTCCATGATCATGTTTACCCATGTAAAAAACCTGCACATCCTGCACATGTACTGGTGAACTTACAATAAAAGTTTTTTTAAAAGTAGTTTCTTAACTGGTTTCTTCACATCACTATTACAACAGTTCAAACCATTCAACTCACTATGTCAGTGATTCTTAAATATACACCCGATGTTTGCTGATCACCTCATTAACATCCTTTAATTGATTCATCTGCTTTCAGGATAGGGAAATTCTTTGACATTCAAGGGCAAGCATCATTGTTTATTTGTTGTTTTTTAAGAGTTTGAACTGTGCCTAAGAGAATGAGAGTTAACTCTCTCTCATTGGGACGCTTTCTTAATATACTCTTTCTGTACTTTTAAGGACAGGTTATATTGATGTACTGATAGTTACGACCCTGATAAGTTATCCGTTGTAGCTCAAAAATAGGGCTTGACTTATGAGGTTGATGACTAACCAGCTTAGAATGTCTTTGAACTTTTTTTTGTCTAGGACATTAAGAAACAGAAAGATTATTTTCAATGCTTCTTCGTATCTGATTCTGTTTATTTATATATTTATATTGACTGACTAATGTTTTCATGAATTTTATTTATAGGTATCCATCAAAAAAATAGTTAAGTCTTCTAATTCATCATTTTCTCAATTTAGATGTATACATTTCAAAATAGATATTACAATCAAGCATCAGAATACAATTTGGGTGTTCAAATTTATACCTACAAAACTATTTTTACATACAAAATCTTAAGGGAACCAAAAAAATATCTCTTCATCACCATATTATCGTAAGTGTATTTTGAGATCTAAAATTAGAATATCACTTTGTTTGTTCTTTTTAATATCTCTTTGTTTTATATAGCCAAGTATATATTTGATACACTTTCCCCAAATGCTGTTAACAGCAAGAAAAATTTGTTTATAGTGATATCCAAAATATTTTTAGATTGCTTATTAAAGTCAATAGATACCCTGATGCTCAATGTACTATTTTAGAGAATTTATACCACTGTGGTTATACAAAAATACCAATGACAGAATATTTACCACATTTATCTGATACTTATAGAAAATAAGAATAGGCATTCCCCAAATATGACAGAGAGGCATAGAGGTACTGCTCTTTCAAATTCAATGACTTTAGTGCAGTCCAATAGTAAATATTTAACTGCATTTGAAAATATTTACAAGAAAAGTCTTTGTGCTAGGTACTACCTGTACTTTAGGATATAAGGAAATATATCCATAGTCTCTGCCTGTAATTCATCAACAGTCTGCTGGGCAAGAAAGAGAAACAGAAGGTGGAAGTGTAATACTTGCAATGTGATAAGTATTACTGTGATGGGATAAAGTCAGGATGAGAACTCTCCCAGAAACGACATCTAATGCAGTCTGAGAGGAATGGGAAAGTCTTCCTAGAAAAGATGTCCTATGCTGCTGCATGAAGGGTGGATATGAGATAATCATGTAATGAGGGCTTAAGAAGACAGAATGGTCCAAAGCAAACAACTGGATCTAAGTTTTCAGCTGTATAATAAGAAAGCAAAAGAATCTGAAAGCAAGACAAAACAAAACAAAATAATTTTATATATAGTTAAAGCCAAAGGCTAAGCATAAGAAAATGAAATCCAGTCATCTTCTTAGAAAATCATTTTTCTCTAACACTAGAGAAGATTAAAAATGTTATGGATGAGGAAGTGGAACATAAGTAGAAGTGTGAATCCAGAAAGTTGGAGCCTCCGTCTGAGTAAGCGCCATTCAGAAACAGCTCCAGTGAATGAGGCTGAAGCATATAAGCATTAAATGATTCCTTTTTTTCCATCTGGGAAAATATTTATCATAGTGAACTATTGAACTGTTGATCATTTGGTCAGAGTAGATACTTGTCTAAATTCTGAGGTCCATTTTTCATCTAGAGAGCATCCTCAACAAATCAGGAAACCCACATTCTTCTAGAAGAGAGGGAGGAGCTTTGGACTTCACAGAAATGGTGATGAGATTAAATGAAAGGACATATACTAGGTCAAAATAGTTAACAGAAAAAAGCACAGACTCTTGTAAAGTGGGAACAGTAGTAGAATAAGCCAGGGTTTTCTATAGGGTTTCTAGTAATCTATCTGCATGGTAGATTTGCGTGCCATGTTGATTACAAACCTTGGTTCAGAAACAGACACATGGCCTATTTGGCCAAGAGAGAATGGGCTAGATACTCTGGGTCAAGTTTCCCATAGGTCCCACGTTTATTAAAAGTGTGGTCCAATATTCACTCTCTTCCCTGAACTAGATAAATAAGAATCAGAGCTTTTGTGTTTTCCCAGAGGGCTGAGTAATTGAGCATGGTCCACCTATCAGAAAAGATGTGGCACAAGTGGCATGTACTGAGGATCATCAGCATACAATAGTAAAATCTCAGAGCAGCGGTTATGCATAAGAGTCAAAATGGAAGACTGGTTCATCAAGGTGTTGCAGCCTAGAAAAACTTAGAAAGACTAACACCATGTTTACACTCATGGCCAAGAAAAATGGGGATTTAGAGTTAAATTAAATCATTTTAAAGCATAGCTAATACATAAATGTTCATTTTTGTACACCTATTTAATTTTGTCTGAGAATATTCACAAATCAGTTACAATTCTGTTATGGAGAACAGGGTAGAGAGCTGAATTGGTAATGAGACAACTGAACAGCAAAATCACAATAAGCTGCCATGGATTACTGAATGTTCCCAGTATGCATGGCAGATGATGAGCTTGCATTTTTATCAACAGAAATGGCAGACCATTTGACTAATCAAGATGTAGGTGTTTTGCTCTATTGGTTTGGAAAAAGGACGGGAAAGCAAATTAGTTGGTATAGGTAAGACTGGATGAAATTTTAGATGAATTAGGTCTTTAGCATATAGAAAAGGAACGCAGATAACAGGGGAAACATCTAAATTAAAAGATTTGTGGTTGTGAGAAAACAAAAAGGGAATATAAATTGTTCTACCATAAAGACACTTACACATGTATATTCATTGCAGCACTATTTATAACAGCCAAAACAATGAATCAATCTAAATACCCATCAATAGCAGACTGGATAACAAAAATGTGGTACTTATACACCATAGAATACTATGCAGCCATAAAAAGAACACAGCCATGTCTTTTGGGGGAACATGGATGGAGCTGGAGACCATCATTTTTAGCAAACTAACCCAGGAACAGAGAACCAAATACCACATGTTCTCACTTATAAGGGGGAGCTAAAAGATGGGAACAAGTGGTCACAAAAAGGGGAACAACAGACACTGAGACCTTACTTGAAGATGGAGGTTGGAGGAGGAAGAGGATCAGAAAAAAATAACTCTTGGGTACTATACGTAGTACCTGAATGACAAAATAATCTGTACAACACACCCACCTGATATGAGGTTACCCATATAAATTGCACATGTACCCCTGAACCAAAAATAAAAGTTTTTCAGAAAAAGAAAATAAAATGTGAGAAAAAGACAGTGATAGAAGCATAAATGGAGGATGCTGAGGTTAACCTTTTCAGCTGAGATTCTCTGAAAAATTTCAATTATTTTTCACCAACAATAATTCAGCATTGCATAGTTGCAGTCAGAGTGCTGGTTGAGGCAGAAGTCATGAAAGTATGTACAGAGAGAAAAATTTTCAATTGTCCAATATTTAGTGAACAATGCAGTATCTAACCTTTGTTCTAGGAAGAATGTATGGACTAATTTTTGTCTTTCAAGTTTTGTAAACCTCTAGGCATGAGTTGCCGGCTTCTACTTTAATTCAAACCTACACTAGTGCAGGTTTGTCACTATGGATCACGGCCTTGGGGTCAGGTGTTTGCAGTTTCCAAGTCATGTTATAATTGCCTACCTGTAAAGAGAAAACAGCAATTCAAAAGTACCATGAATGTACATTTGTAGTAATAGTGCCTTTCATTTAGTTTTCAATTTCTCATGGTTCATTGTCGTTTTCTTCTAGTAAATAGCATGATCAAATAAAGAGTCTCCACATTAAGTCAAAAATTTAAAAATACATTTTCAAAATTTCTTGGAGTAAGAAATTGATGTGTTCTCTGAAAAAAATGGAAAATCTCACTTAAAATGTCAAATACATTTTCAGTTAGTATGCTCAATATTTTTATTTCTGAAAAACTAAATACGTACTGAAAAACCCTTGAATATTTAAAGAATTTTTCCCTTGGAAAGTTGGCTTTGGCTGAACAAGAGTCATTTTCTTTTTCTTAAATTTAGCTCTGTATATTGGCACTATGGTAGGAAAATAAAAGTCCCTTCCAAATTCTATTTATAAGAATTTTTTCACTTCTAAAAAAGGGTCAAATTTGTTATTTTTGTTAAATATCTGGTTTTATTTCCTTTTCCCATTGAGGAAATAAACTGTCTATATGAGTAGTATTGGGCTAATGTCTAACAGACTGCTTACAAAATAATTGAAATGCGACATTCATTGACCAAATAAAAAAGTTATAAAAGCCAAAATTGGCAAAACTCACATAATATAAAAATTAAAATGTCTATAGATTAAAATTACTAAATTTCCCATAGTATATACCTTTAGTATTTCTGAATTATTCTAAATCAACTGACAAGTGTAGAGAAATAACTATGTTGTCACATCAGTGGTCACCAGTTGATGTGGTGAGAAAGTTATTAAGCAAAATCAAGGCTTAGTTACTTTAGCCTTGAAGCCAGAAAGGGAATCACTAGGTAGGCCATATAATGTAAATCAGAAAAAATGGAGCAGAATAGGATATCAGCTGGATGAAAACTTTTCTCTTAGTCACGCTGTTAAGGATGTTCACATCCCTTAGTAAACAGAAACTAGGCTCTCCGTTTCATCACTTAAGGTAGAAAGTACTTATGGTAAATGAATGTGTAAGTCTCTACACACTGTATGAGTTCCATATTCTCAATAAAATATTGACATAAGGATTCATTTAAAGGCAGGCATGCATGAGAGAGATTGGGAGTATGAGAGAGAGAAAACTAATATTAGTTGTTATTGCAAGTGTTCAGTATAGGACAGAAATTACTAAACACTTTAGGGTAGTTGAAATTTAATCTTCATAACAATAGGGTGAGGTAGGTACTATTTTTCTCTTTTCATGTCTGAAACTAAGGCACTGTGAGGTTAAGTATTTAATAACTTGACAATGTCACACAGACCTGGGCCCATGTGGCAGATTAATGCATTGTAAATCCAGATTTCAACATATTTACACCCTTTTTCTATGGTCTGTATTACATTGATACAGGTAGAAGTAGAGTTCGGAATGTCTAGAGATACAAATATAATTATAAGTAAAAATAGGCCCAATTACAACATAGAAATAGACATAGAGTTTTAGGTTCCATGGCATGACTTTTGCAAACAAGATTCTTTTGTCTAGTGTGGAGTAAACATGTGAAGCATTACCACTTAGAGAACCTTCCCTCATTGAGCTTTGCTTTTGAATGAGCCTGACACAAAGTTCATGTACATAAAGTATGCCATTTTGTATTCTAAACAATCTTTGATATTTGGGTGTGAAGATTCTTAAGAAAATGATAAAAAATATGAGATATCTATGACTGCATGACTTTTATAGAATTGGCTTCCCAAATAATTCTTTAAGGTTATAGATTCAATTAATATTGAAAGTGAGAAGAATCAGGATTTTGTTTCCTATGGAATAAAAATGAATAACTGGAACATTCAGATCTGGTAAAAACAGTTGTGGTACTTTAAATACAAAACCCTTAAGAGAGTTCTCTGAGAATAAGGCATTCTTTTTTTTTTTTTGAGACGGAGTTTCGCTCTGTCGCCCAGGCTGGAGTGCAGTGGCGCGATCTCGACTCACTGCAAGCTCCGCCTCCCGGGTTCACGCCATTCTCCTGCCTCAGCCTCCCGTGTAGCTGGGACTACAGGCGCGCGCCACCATGCCCGGCTAATTTTTTTTTGTATTTTTAGTAGAGACGGGGTTTCACCGTGTTAGCCAGGATGGTCTCAATCTCCTGACCTCGTGATCCGCCCATCTCGGCCTCCCAAAGTGCTGGGATTACAGGCGTGAGCCACCGCGCCCGGCCTAATAAGGCATTCTTAATGAACCTGAGAATGTGAACTGTGCCTTGGTATTTTCATGGAATTAAGCACCATGAAATCACTACAAAAGGAGTGAGAATTGTAGTACTTATAGTGAGACAATAAAATAAGAATGATACTATCTTTTAAAGCACAAAATAGACTCACTAATGTTAAGAAATGTTTGCTTACAGTTGACATAGAAGAATGACTACTAAATTAATGAGATCTGCATACTTTTTACGGATGATATATGGTAACACAGAGTCATTATAAAATAGCATATTGATATGGTTTGGATTTGTGTCCCCACTCAACTCTCATGTCAAATTGTAACCCCCCAATGTTGGAGGAAGGGCCTTGTGGGAGGTGATTGGATCATGGGGGCCAATTTGCCTCTTGCTGGTCTCATAATAATGAGTGAGTTCTCATGAGACCTGGTAGTTTCAAAGTGTGTGGTATCTTTTCCTTCACTCTCTCCTTCTCTGTCCATATACAGCATACCTGCTTCCCCTCACCTTCTGCCATGATTGTACATTTCCTGAGGCCTCCCAGCCATGCTTCCTGTACAGGCTGTGGAACTGTAAGTCAATTAAAACACTTTTCTTTATAAATTACCCAGTCTCAGGTAGTCCTTTATAGCAATGAAAGAATGAACCAACACAGAAAATTGGCACCAGGGGTGGGGCATTGCTATATAGATATCTGAAAATGTAGAAGCAGCTTTGGAACTGGGTAATGGGCAGAAGTTGGAAGAGATTGGAGGGCTCAGAAGAAGACAGAAAGATTAGGGAAAGTTTAGAATTTCCTAGAGACTTGTTAAATTGTTTTGACCAAAATGCTGATATTGATGTGGACAATGAAGTCCAGCCTGAGGTAGTCTCAGATAGAGATGAGGACCTTACTAGGAACCAGAGTAAATATCACTCTTGCTATGTTTTAGCAGAGACTGGTGGCATTTGTGCCCCTGCTCTAGGGATCTGTGGAACTTTGAACTTCAGAGAGATGATATCTAGGGTATCTGGTGGAAGAAATTTCTAAGCAGCAAGGCGTTCAAGAAGTGGCCTGGCTGCTTCTAACAGTGTATGCTTATATTTGTGAACAAGATATAATCTTAACTTGGAACTTGAATTTAAAAGGGAAGCAGAGCATAAAAGTTCAGAAAATTTGCAGCCTGACCGTGAGGATAGAAAATGGGTAGAAAAGAAAGGCCCATTTAATGGGGAGGAATTCAAGTCTGCTGCAGTCATTTGCATAAGTAAACAGGAGCTGAACGTTAATAGCTAAGACAATGGGGAAAATGCCTCAAAGGCATTTCAGAGACCTTCATGGCAGCTCCTCCCATCAAAGGCCTGGAGGCCTAGGAGGGAAGAATAGTTTTGCAGGCAGGGCTCAGGAACCAGCTGCCCTGTGCAACCTCAAGACACTGCTCCCTGCATCCCAGCTGCTCCAGCTCCAGCCATGGATAAAGGGGCCCCAGATACATATCAGGCCACTGCTCCAGAGGGTGTAAGCCATAATAAGCTTTCATGGCCTCCACATAGTGTTAAGCCTCTGGGTGTGCCGGGGCCAAGGGTTGAGGCTTGGGAGTCTCTTCCTCAATTTCAGAGGGTGTATGGAAATGCCTGGATGTCTATGAAGAAGTCTGCTGCAGGACCAGAGCCCCCATGGAGAATCTCTACTAGGGCTGTACAGAGGATAAATGTGGGGTTGGAGCCTCCAAACAGAGTTCCCACTGGAGCACTGCCTAGTGTAGCTATGAGAAGAAGACCACCATCATCCAGGCCTCAGAACAGTGGATTCACCAATAGCTTGCACTATGCACCTGAAAAAGTCGCAGACATTGAAGGCCAGCCCTTGAGAGTAGCCAAGGGACTTGAGCCTTGCAGAGCCACCGGGGTGAAGGTTCTCAAGGCCTTGGGACCCAACCCCTTATCTCGGTGTTGCCTGGATGTGACACATGGAGTCAAAGGAGATTATTTTGGAGCTTTAAGATTTAACGACTGCCCTACTGGGTTGGGAATTGCATGGGGGCTTGTAGCTCCTTTGTTTTGTTCAGTCTCTCCCTTTTGGAACAGTTGTATTTACCCGATGCCTGTATCCTCATTAAATCTTGCAAGTAACAAATTTATTTTTAATTTTACTGTCTCATAGGTGTAAGGGACTTGTCTTATCTTGAATGGGACTTTGGATTTTGGACTTTTAAGTTAATGCTGAAATGAGTTAAGACTTGGGGGACTGTTGAGAGAGGAAGATTGTACTTTGCAATGTATGAAGGACATGAGATTTGAGAGGGGCTAGAGGAGGAATAATATGGTGTGGATTTGTGTCTCCATCCTAATCTCAAATTGGACTATAATCCCCAATGTTGAAGGAGGGGCCTGGTATGAGGAGATTGGATCATGGGAATGGATTTCCCCCTTGCTGTTCTCATGATAGTGAGTTCCCATGAGAACTGGTTGTTTAAAACTGTGTGGCACCTTCCCCTTCAGTCTTTTCCTTCTCTGACCATGTATGTTAATAGCTAAGACAATGGGGAAAATGCCTCGAAGGCATTTCCTGCTTTCCCTTCACCTTCTGCCATGATTGTAAGTTTCCTGAGGCCTCCCTGGCCATGCTTTCTGTACAGCCTGTGAAACTGTGAGTCAATTAAAACTCTTTTCTTTATAAATTACCAACTCTCAGGTAGTTCTTTATAGCAATGTGAGAATGAACTAACACACATGTAATCTCTATAAACATTCTAATAAAATGGAAAATAATATCATAGGAATTTGGTAACAAATATACATTTTCTTTCAATGAGCAGAAGCCATGGACACAGCAATTGATAATATTTGCTTAATAAAAACAACACAGTTGAGTACATTTTAGCCCCCAGAAAATAACCACCTTAGAAAAACTACAACGCAATTGACTTTTGTAGTTCAACACATTACATAAAGAGTGGTTTGTTTTTCAAAGGATTAATCACAATGTGTCTATTGTTATTTTCTTATTATCCTAATGTTCTTCCAACTAGTATTGTGTTTCACTGAAAACCTTACCTTTTTATAACTTTAAACACCACAAAACATCCTGGGTATTGACTATTCCATTGAGTTCATATTAAGCAAGGCCTTGCCATTTCTCTGTTGTTGTACTATAATACAGGTACTTCGTGGTCTAGTCTTACTGAAATCATCCAATGGAAATAATAAGGAAGTAGCTGGTAAGGTTTGGAACCTAATTTGCCAATGTAAGGATTATGAAATACATTGCTTGTATAAAATCTAATAAAGCTGGTTTTGTTTCTGCTTCAGTGTTTATATGAATGATATTACCATCTGCTCTTGAGAAGACCTCAGGCAGGATCTCTGAAAAATAACTTAAACATCTTAAATAAATACACAAGATTTGGCAATAATCATGCAACAGATACAAAAAACATTTCTTGCTATTGCTACATATTTTAACTAGACCAACATTTTTAATATAATGGGTCAATTAATTAGTTGTCCATTTCTAAATATTTTATATACGATATTATGGTTTAAAAGAAATTGTTAACTTGTAAAAATTTAAGCAGATCTTGAAGTAAAGGGTTAAAAGACAAAAGTTAAGAAAAAAACAAAGAATTCTAAAGTTTTGTACCATAGGTAATTTAACTTTTACATATTATTTCTAGTCTATTAATGTGAGACAATTCTATGCAAGGGTATTTTAATTGTAGAAAGGAAAAATATTATGAATATGTAATTGACTTGATTTTCCAATGGGTGAGTCTATGCTTGCACTCGGGTATACAAAATCACTACCTTCCTGCATTTTTATAGAGCATATATTATTTGTAGTTAATATGTTTACATGTGAGCAGTGAAGGGTGACTTTCAACTCTCAGAGAGAGCCAAATTTTCTTTTTCACAATCTACCTTAGATATTTGATACACATTTCTTTCTAATGTCTTTCTGATTTTTTTAAACTTTAAAACACACCAAACCTAATAGAGTATGTTTTCTCCCCAAATATCTGATCTCTTTTGGAATTCCTTTCTATTATGATAGCGCCATTCTGATCTGACATATTCTTTTACAACCTTCCTTCACTTTCAATTAATATTCAAGTCATATCTCTGTTTCAGAGCTGTTTTCTCAAATCAATTCCCACAAACTAATATCCACAGCCCTCAGCTTTGCCTGTGCTCAGGCTCTCATCTTGTCTCAATTGTGTCTAATAGTACCTGTTCCCTTTCTCTAATATTACCATATAATTGTTTATATTGTTCATTGGCCAGGTTTCTCAGCTATAGAGAAATCCACTCTAGCTAGTTAAATAAGAAAGGTATTTATAGGCCGAGGCGGGCGGATCACCAGGTCAGGAGATCGAGACCATCCTGGATAACATGGTGAAACCCCGTCTCTACTAAAAATACAAAGAAATAGCCGGGCGTGGTGGCGGGCACCTGTACTCCCAGCTACTCGGGAGGCTGAGGCAGGAGAATGGCGTGAACCCGGGAGGCGGAGTTTGTAGTTAGCCGAGATCGCGCCACTGCACTCCAGCCTGGGCGACAGAGCGAGACTCCGTCTCAAAAAAAAAAAAAAAAAAAAGAAAGGTATTTATTTATGTACTGATACTTTCAAGAATATTTAGCAAAACTTAAATAACAAACTGTAGGTTTGAGCTTCCATGAAGAATTCCCATGACTATCCCACAAAACTGAGGCACTGAATGAGCTACCTTAGTCATAATCCCGCAGTCACTCACTTGCTCCAGAATCATATTGCATATGATCTAATCCCAACAACAAATTGCTCAGCCTCTCTTCATAACCAACTCAATTCTGCACAGTTTCCTGTTGGTGTACTGATTAGAGAAACTTAAATTCCATCTGGAGCTCTTGCTGCAGTAGAGTCTGGGAAATGCAGTTTTTAGAATTCCAGCCAAGGCAGTACAAGGAGTAGAGCTAATTGGAGTGAGTGTTAAACAAATGAATTCACCATATCCATCACATATTGCAAACAAAGTATTTTTAAAAGCTAATCTCATCATAAAACTGTTATTTACTTGTCAAAATGTTTTAATTAACTATTGCCTAAAGGCTAAAATCCAAACTTCATTATTGATCTTTCTTTAAGAAAACATTTCTTAAAATGTAAATATTTGTTTGGCCAAAAACTTTCTTTAGAGTTCAATTTTGCTTAGCATTGTTCTCAGCTCTTATACCTGGAAATAACATATGGCTCCCAGGTGTCTGGGACTGGGGTAGGGTGCTATATAAAATAAATAATAGACAAAGTGATCTGGGATGATAAAATGTTGTATAAAATCTCCTTTGAGACCTGGTGGAAGTAACGTGAGCTTCAGAAAGGAAGAGGTGAGAAAAACTTTCAAAGAGGGAGTGATATTCAGCACATTTTTAAACTATAGAAACATGTTGGCCAGTTTGCCATGTAACCACGGCAAAGAGAAATGAAGACCAGAATTTACAGATTTGTGTAAATGTATGGGCTTGTAGAATACATACGAGAATAAAAAAGAGAATGATAAGTCGTTTGGAATGACATGCACTACTCCATGTGTTGACATGATAAGGGATAATCAGATGAATAAAATTCTCATTCACTTGCCTAAAGGGTTTAGACTATCCTGTGAGGGGTTGAGAGCCATGGAAGGAGTCTAACAAGGAGATGAACCTAAGTTTTTCCTGAGAGTTTCTCGGGGATAAACCAAAACATGGTGGGGGCTAAAGCCATGTAGAATACTTAGAAGCAATTATTCCAGGGTCAGATCCAAAGTCAGGCAGTGGATTTGAATACTGAAAGGAGCTAATGTTTGGTAAGTGAGTGAAGAGACAGCAACATCACTCACTGACCTGCAGAGTCCTTAATATTGTGGCTTATCTACCAATAATTTCACCGATGCTCTTCCAGTGAATCCAAAGGAATCACCTTTTTTAGGGGCCATATCTTTCGTAACATATCCTTGAACGTTCTGTTCCTTCTGCCCAAAATAGCCTGTTACTCTTCTCTGATCAGTTATCTGACAAGATTTAGCTTAAAGGGCTTTATTTTGAAAATATTCTTTCATGCTTTGAGGCAGTAGCAGACACTCCCTCTTTACTACATGAAAAATTCCGCCTTTCAATGTACAGATCTTAGTACACTGTAAGTATTCATTTGTGGTCTGTGTTCCCACTTGGTTATGACTTTCTAAGGGTTCCAGGCTATGTCTTAACTTTTGGAAAGTAGCAGATATTTGGGATATATGGAGAATTAATTTAAATTAATAATCAATAATTACAACTTTTTCTAGGACATATAAGGTTGTCCAATAAAATATATAAATATAATATGTCACAGTATTTCCAATAATTCTACTGTTTTTTTATACTCAATTGGTCACATTTCCATCTAGGAAATATTGATATAAAACATATAAATTAGCTTCATATACTTCAAAGTAGTGAATGTAAAAACAACTACAGTTTAATCTTCTGTATAATTAGCAGAGACAAATCAACATTTTATTTTTGTCTTTGGCCAAACCCTGACCAGTTTGTGTTGCCCAAATATGATTTTCTTTTTCTTTCAACAGAATAACATCTGGCAAAAGCCCAGGTCATTTTTAAATACTATAATTTTCTCTTAATCAGCTTTCTTGTCCAGAGCCTCATTTTCCTCTAATCAGTTCAGGTGTTCCTCATTGTTAGTGCCAATTCAAAATTATCAGTGTTCAAGATTGTTTTCTAAGCTAGTCACCCAGCAAATTCTTTTTATATCACAACTTTCTTCACATGCTTTTGCCATTACTACCCATTCATCTCTTGGTCCATTTTCCTAAGTAATAACCTGTGCTTGGAAATATGTTCTATTAAATATCCACCGACTACTATGTCTAGTATAAACTTCAGTTTTGAATCATTCCCCTCATACAAAATTGTCAAAATATGTTAAATATTCTAAAACATTGCTGTATTTTTCTATTCTACGCTTGTCACAAATTAGAGCTACTTGTGCACCATTCCTTAAGTAATTCAATACTTTGAATTCATGTTAGTAGCATGACCTGGGATTGTTCTTAGAGAAGTGCCGTAAGAACACATTGCCTTTCTGTTACAGGAGAAAATATTGAAGAAGTTTGTCATATGAGAATCCGTAAGGGGATCTGTTGCCAGGCAGATGAGATCTGTGGCCAAATCATAAATTTGCTAATAAGATGCTATGTGGCCATTGATGAATTACTTGCAGTCGCTAAGCTTCAGTTTTCTCAAATATGAGAAAAATAGATAATATATTTCTCACGGAATTTCTGTGAGGTTTGCAATTAATACAAGTGCCAAACCTACAAACTTTATTTAGTCAGCACATATGTTTTGAACATGAAACCTATCCTGTAATTGTACATTATGTATGTCTATAAGCATGAAAGCATAGAAATCCTAATTTCCCGCCATATAGCAAAATATAAATGTCTTTATTTTCTAACTTTGAACAATTCTAATAGCCATATTTTGGTCAAAATCAAGCATATGTTTAATGACATTTGGCAGTGCTACACATAAGATCAACGTGAGCAATAAGGTTAACATAGTCTGTTGAAAATAAAAAGGAAGATTTGATTTAAAAAATAGCTTCACATAATAAAATTTAGGCCAAGGCGGGTGGATCATGAGGTCAGGAGATGGAGACCATTCTAGCTAACATGGTGAATCCCTGTCTCTACTAAAAATACAAAAATTAGCCGGGCATGGTGGTGGGCACCTGTAGTCCCAGCTACTCGGGAGGCTGAGGCAGGAGAATGGTGTGAACCCAGGAGGTGGAGCTTGCAGTGAGCTGAGATTGTGCCACTGCACTCCAGTCTGGGTGACAGCGTGACTCCGTTTCAAACATAAAAAAAAAATAAATAAAATAAAATTTGGACCTTGATATGGAAATAAACATAAAAAAATAAATAAATAAAATAAAATTTGGACCTTGATATGGAAATAAAATAAAATTTTCTTTTATGAAAATAATACTAATTACCTTGTTGCTTTTATAAATAAATGGCTGTGTACATTTTCACGACTGTTTAAAAAATCAATAATGTATGATTAAACACTTTATGTATGATTAAACTTTTTACATATGATTAAACTTTTTACATATGATTAAACTATGTGTTTGAATATATAAATAGCTCCTTAACATCCATATAATATGCGTTGTAGAGTCTTAGGTTGATATATAATACAGCATAAAGAATACATTTAAATCAAATATAAATTAATACATACATATATAGTCTGCTGTTTTTGTCCATTTTGATAAACGGCTATGTTTAAAATACATGGTTATTAAAAAGAATTGGTGACAATTGGTTATTAAAAAGTTGGGTGACAAAGTTGAGAAGTGATTCAGCTTTTACTGAGAACCTGTTACACATCTGATCCATTTCTGGATGCTCTACCTATATTAATTAATTGAATCCTTGCCGCAGTTCTTAGGCTTATAAGCATAAACACCATAGTGTTTCCCCCATTTTGCTAGGAGGGAAAGCAGCTCTGAGACATAATCAGTGTTTTCTCTGGTAATGAGGATGTTAAACTACAGTAAGTTTGAGACTTTGTCTCATCTACTCAAGTCCATCATGCAACTTAACTTCCCTCTTAAGGGGGATTATGGCTTAACATTTATGACTTAAATTTTGCTTCTAATTTTTATATGGTGGTCTTGAATAAAAAATCACTAGCTGAGTCTGACTTAAGATAGGGTTGCTAAGCATCAAGGAATATGTAAATTAATGTAATTGAACTCTTTTTCTCCCTCTGGGGAAGGTTAGATTAAGATGAGTGGCCTTTGCCCTTATCAAAAATATGAGACGACTTTTTGTCAAGTATTTGCATAATTAATACACATCAATTACAAACATAATGAGTATTCATCTACTACAAAAATAGTTTTATTTTTTAAAAGACTTAATTTTACACATATAAAGATAGTACATATCTAAAAATCTGTAAACTGTTTATTGACCATAAAAACAACTTTCTATTTTTTTTTTTTGCAAACATAATTGCGGTGTTTGTCATTACTTTTAATGGCAAAAACTGAAACTACTTGTGCACCAAGCTGGTATGTTTTCAATATATTACAAATAAAATAATAAGATATATTTGTCTTGTCTTTCATTTATGGAAAACAGTTCTTTCTCCTATATGAAAACATTAAATTGTTTAGCTTATTTTCCAGAAATATTGTACTCAGTGAAAGAAGATTTAAATTAACAAAGATAACACCGAAATTTCTTGGATCACTTTCCAGTATTTTCTAATCTGTGTAATATAACACACATGTATGTAACTTAGAAGGCAGTTTTACTATTACCTTAGTGAGATATATATCTACTACTTCCTGAGTAACTTGAAAGGTTTGGAAATATTTACATTTGAGCATCTGAATGATATAAAGGTTCAGGCAAGAAAAAAGAAGTTTTCCATACGGTAGCCTCGACCTTATTCACAGGGGATGTATTCCAAGACCCCCAATGGATGCCTGAAACCTCAGATAGTTCCTAAAGCCACTTAAACTCTGATTCTTATACAATCACTTTGTATTGGGCAAGCAGCAAATACAGCGTGGATAAGCTGGCCAAAGGGATGATTCACATTCAGAGTGGAATAGAGTGGAACAGAGCATGATTTCATCACGCTACTCAGAACATCACAGAATTTAAAACTTACAATTTGCTTATTTCTGCAATTTGTCATTTAATATTTTTTTGGCTGCAGAAAACCGAAATCTCAGAAAGTGAAATTGTAGGTAAGGGGGCACTACTGTATCTGCGACTGAATCTTAATTCCTTACACATGCTAAACAAGGACTCCTTTTGGCCATTTCAGGATTATTATTTGAATACATTTGTCAATATAAAGTGGGAAAGTTTCCATTTTCCTGTTATATCCTTTGAAAAAATAATCTTTTGGATCCAAGGATCCAAAGCAACAGACATTTTTTGTATGACAGCCAATTATTCACGCATTACCCTTAATTATGCTTTCTAAATTATATATTGAAATCCCAAACTTCTTATCCACAGCATTTAAACATCTCAATTGTTCCTAATAGAGTAGGTTGTCTAAGGGAAAAGAAGGACTTCTTAGTATGTGTATATTAGTGCATATTAGTACTGTTTGTGGGAGGTGATTGTTGCAAAGTTCAAAGAGATTCTTCGTGGTCAGAAAGAGGTAGATGCTTATAGTAAAGCTTACCTTATAGAAACAGGGTAAGAGACATTATAACTATATTTTATTATAAATTAGATGACTATACATTTTTACAATTCTACTGATAAATCTCTTTTCCTTGTAACATTCTCATTAGAACATGTAAAATGCTTGGCCGTTCTCCCAGAAAAATTCTGGTATTTGCAAGTCTTGTCTTTCATTTAAGTGATATTCAACTTGCAAGGTTTACAGCAAAATTATTCAAGTTCTGCTTTAATGCTTACTTAAAACAAGGATGTTTCCATAAGATTATGAGATTACCTGTGCAAATTATTTATTGGAAAATGATTAATCGCTAATTTTTAAACTGGCTTTTCTGTGAAACAGAATAGTGAATTTTAAAGTCTTATTATTTGCAGAATTCAGAAGGATATCTTGTACTAATTGCATTATTCCAAAACATGATAAAATGTAACTGTATTAGTTTCTTTTCCTGTGTAACACATTACCACAAACTTAGGGCTGCAAAGCAACACAGTCCTATATATAAGAAGCAAATGGAGAGACTGAGTTTTCTGCTCAAATTATCGCAAGGCTGAACTTAAGGTGTTTGCTATTCTGAGTTCTCACCTCGATATTCTGGAATGATATCTATTCCTAAGTTTATTCTGATGGCTGTCAGAATTTAGTTTCATGTAGTTGTAGGATTGAGGTATTGTTTTCCATGATGGCTGTTGGCTGGGGGCCACCCTCAGCTCCCGGAGGCTACCTGAACTTTGGGTCAAATTATTTTCCAGCCAAAGGCTTGTCATTAAAGAACTATCCTATTGCATAAAAATGTCTAGGACCTTGTAATACAACTTTACTCTGTCAATGGCTGAGGGCCACCCAAGAAGAGTGTGACTTTAGCTCTTTGAGGCTGATTATGTAGTTAATAGCTAAAAGCTGTCAGCTAACCACACTTTTTCAAAAGGACTCTGAACAGGACATCTCAGTGTGTGTCATATTTATAGAGAAAAAAATCAAATTGCCATATATAGTGTTTAGCCTAAGGCTATGTTCATAGAAACACATGGACAAGAATGTTATGAGGTATCTGTCCAGACAGTGGTATAATCCTAAGATATTTCATGGACTACATCTGATTGGTCAACAAATCTTACATCTGATTATTGTAGTTTTTCTAGTACCAATAAATATTTGTTCCAGGATCAACAGACAACTAGAGTTTTCTGTATATATGAAAGATAAGATGCCATTATTGGCCATGATACATTGTGAGAGAAGTGATGCTGGATTAAAAAAGCAGAAAACAAAAGAGAAAAATAAAAGCTGAGTTGTGTTGTACAAATATATACTTAATACATATCAGTTAAGGACATAAAGAATTTAGACATACTCAGATGTGAATGGCCAAAAAAGGGCTGAAGATAATTATTCACATCCCAATGAAGGTTGTATAATATTAGGAATTACGAGTTAGGCCATGCAGAGTGTCCTACACTATCTGAAAGAAAGTGGATTTTATAAGACCAGCTATACCTGCATAGACATATAGAATCACAGAATTATAAGAAGGTTGTGCAGATATTATGAAATGATGAGGCTGAACTAATATAACCATGTTTGCTCTGTCAGAGGAATTGTGCTGCAGTGGGAATAATTGACTATTTAAATAGAAAATGTAAAAAATTGACACTGGGCTTACCCACCTCCTTGATTCAGAGGATACAGGTACCTATATACATTTTATTTAATTTCTCTGAGATTTACAGAAGCTCAAGAGAGTCATGAGGAATCTCAGCTATATCATTATTTTTACCTGTGCATGAACTGCGCCAGTGTTTTTAGCAGAAAGTTATAGATAAAATAGTTCTGGAGTTCTGTGAGCTGCTCTGATCTTTATTCATTCTGCTTTACGTTGGACTTAATTTTATCTCTGAAAAAAGGTGGCTACGGTTGGATTATTATGATGAATTTCCATAAAAACCCAGGATTCTTTAGCATATACTGGGAAGAAAAGATAGACTTGAAAAAGTAGTGGTTTAAAATTTTTGTGAATTAATGAATTTTAAAAGTGGCCAGTGTCACCACAGAGTCCTGAGTATAATGTTCGGTATGCTAGCTTGGCAAATCTAAAGTGGCAGGTAACAAAGGCTAAGAATTCTCCAGTGACCTCATGCAATTTCTGAGAGCACTAGGGAGTTGGCAAACTACCTCACTTACACCTCATAAAGTGAGACCTTCGATTCACCCCTGCTGCTCTCTGTGCTCCTCTTTCTAATTTCTTCAATTGGGAAGTCAGGTAGTGACCCTGGCTGTGAAGGGAATCCAAGATACTCATGCATACACTATTTTGTATTTTTGAAAAAAACAAAACAAAACAAGAAAAATCTAGAGCAGCAACTCCGGAGAATCTTCAACCTTTATTTGAGATTTTTTAGAGACTAAGAATAGAATAATTATTTAAGGCATAAAATAAATATTTCAAATTCCACAATTCACAAATGTCCTTGCACAGAAGCAATTGACACTTAAAGATGAGTGGTGGAAGTATATTATTACAGACTACAAATGGGAGATGAAGAAAATTCACCTTCTATCTGAAAGCTGGACAATCAAGGCTCATCCAGTGCAAAGCAAATAGAGTGTCCAACATCTGTAACAATGAACGGTGACATCTGGGGAATGTGGGGAGCTGGTATTGAGAGCCAGATTGAAAGATGGGACAAGACTGACCTACCAATCCACACAGCAGAAGCCATGTTTCTAAATTCAAAATATAAGCCCCTTTTAAAAAGCTTATTTTCTAGAAGGCTATTTCTTCTTTATCCTCAAAAAATGACAGTATGTATGTAGCAGTTAATAAAATCTTATAAATCTAAATGAGTTTGTATACATATAAACTCATTATATATGTATGCATGTGTATGTGTATTATATATGTACATATATGTGCATGTATATATATATAATATATATATAAAACAAAGTTTAAAAGAAAGAAGAAACCAGTGACTGTCCCTGACTTTAGTTTCTGTTCGAGATCTGACAAGAGCAAGATATTTTTCAGCAAAAATGGACAAGTTATATTTTACAGAGATAGTAGAGATAAAACTGAACTTTAAAGAAAAAATAGAACATTCTAAAAAGCAAAAATCATCCCAGCTGAGTAGAAATAGTAATAATATATATGAAATCAAGATTTGGAGAGTTTGTTATCACAAGGTTTCAAATCAGCATTTGTACTTTGTTGTGTGAATCTCGAATCTTATCATTTTGCTGCCTTATTACTTTTAATTGAATGTGCCAGGCTTAGTAGTAGACACTTCAATAATCTGTATCATTTATAGTTATACAGTTTCTAGTGACATATGATTTATCTGTGGTTAGAAGCCAAGCACACAGTAAACTCTTAAACTTGACGATCTAGTTTGACATAGAATATGTGGGTGATGTTCCTTTCATTGGTGAGTAGTTTCTCTCATTTCAATAGAACATTTTCTGAAAAAAATAATAAGTTGTTGTTGAAACAGCTTTTTAAAACATCAGATGAGTAAAAAAATAGATTAATTTGCCCAGGGTCACATAACACATTAGTAGTAGTAAATCTGTGAAAGATTCAGGGTTCACTTAATTAACTTTTGGGTTACTCTTAATTTTGAGGCATTAGTATGCTAAGCTCTATTACTTTAAGTTGCATTTTTGGAAAGTACCAATGTTGAGATATTGTGGGGGAAAAGGAAACACAAAAGATATTATCTCCCAATATTTTCCTTGCATGTGACCTTGGAAAACAAACCTATGACCTCTCTGCAGCTCTAAAACTGGTTTTCTTTAACCTGCAATGCATGCTTAGTCAGAGGTTCAGAAAGAGTAAGTGATTAACGATGCTTCTGGTAGTGACAAAGATTGGTATCTTCCTTTTTAAAAAAAAAAAATGCTTCCTCCTTTACAAAATGCTGACGTTAAGCTAAGTAAGTTCTATAACCTCTTTTTCATCTCAAATGTCCTTGTACTGTGGACCACAAAAATCAGAGAATGCTATCTTCTGAAGGACAGGTATGACCCTTATCAAACAGCCTAGAGCACAGCTGCTGTGCTCAACTGTACCAAAATGCTCAGACTAGTAGAAATCAGTTTTGCAAGTATCACACAAGATGAAATGAATGGCTCACCAGGAAGTAAACAGCCTGGCTGAAATCCATAGTCTCAACATTTCTGCCTTCTGAATGAATGTGACTCAAAAACATAAGATTCTGTAATCATTTCTGCCTAATGTGGCTGTAGTGATCATTTTTTCTTCCCAATATGAAAAGTCAAATCTCTTATTGAAGAATAGTAGAACCAAATAACAAATCAGAAAGAGACTATTTTAAAAATATATCTGTTTCCATTTACAACCAGGTTCTCTATATTCTGTCATGCTTTTGGCAAACAATATGCATAAGCACTTTTAGTACATATAAAAACTAATCTAGTCCATTAACATTACTAATGCCTGTACAATAAAAATACAGTAGTTATGTAGACTGTCTTTGATTTTACAAATGAACATCAGTTATTTACAGTTTAATTTCAAGCTCTTTATGCTGATTAGATGTTATTCCAGTGAAAATATAAATACAGTATAAATTTGATGTATATTTCTTTAAAAAGCATCTGATCCTGAAGTGGCACAATATAAAAGAAGAGAAACCTCATACAAGAATGACACAATTCTCAGACATTACATAAAATTGAAAAGAATGACTTACAATAAAACAGATGGCAGTGGAAGCAGCTGCATGCTATCATTTCTGAAGTGCGTTAGACACATATGTGGATGGAAATATGGTGTGTGTGGGGGGAAAAGAATTGTGACTGTACATGAAAATGAGAAATTGATGAAATTTTGGCTTTTCTACCATGAGACTAAAATATCAGGGCTAGGGATTCTTTTTCCTTCAAGTACTTTCCTATCTACCAAGTGAAAGGGGACTGTTACTCTTACGTAAGCAATTTTAAAAATTCCACTGTGATGCTTTTTCACACCCCCTGTTTATTTAAAATTACCATATAGCCTGGCTTGTTTTTATGCAAATTCCCACTTAAATTTCAAACATACAGTGCTTTGGAGATGTGGTTTGTAATGACTAATTTTATGTGTTAACTTGACTGGGCCACACTGTGCCCAGATATTTGGTTAAACATTATTTCTAGGTGCATCAGTAAGAATATTTATGGCTGAGATTAACATTTGAATCAGTGGACTGTGTAAAGCAGATTGCCTTTTCCAATATTGGTTGGCCTCATTCAATCCATCGAAGGTCTGAATATTTTCTCTGCCTGAGTTTCTTCAAGCTAGGACATCAGCCTTCTACCTTTAAACTTGGGCTCCAACTGGACCATAAACTATTTGCTCTTCTGGTTCTTAAGACTTGGATTCTGACTGAAACTATGCTATGGGCTCTACTGGGTTTGGACTACTCAACCTTCATAATTGTATGAACCAATTACTTACAATAGATCTCTCTCTTTCTCTCTTTCCATAGATAGATAGATAGAGATAAAGATTAGATATAGATATAGAGACACACACATCCTGTGGGTTCTGTTTCTCTAAAGAACTCTGCCCAATATATGATTCAACAATTATTCACGTACTCTTCCTTCCAGGAACTTTATATTAAAGCATGTAAGGTTGACTTGCATAACCAATAAATGTAAGTGCACTGGTTGCTTTCACATAAAACCTTTCAAATCCATTATATGATTGGCCATAGCTGCTTTCTTTTTTTCTGTCTCAGCAATTAGGTGAGCATGGAGGAAGAGCCTCTGTCATCCTGGGTCCTCCAGCAATTATAATGAGTGAAATACTCCTGCCAACACACATTATTAGACACATAGTGTTAGTGAGGAATAAACTAGTGCAGTATTAGCCATTAAATTTGGGGATTTTTTTATGACTGCATAAATCATCCCTGTTTTGATTGGTATATTCCAGGCCTGTCCATGCAATTTATTATATGCTGGATTTACAATTATTTATTTTAATAATGATGAGCCAGGTACTGGACTGTAAGAAGTGTTTCTGATACTAAAACACATAAAGTGATTGCATTATTCTATTCTCACACTGCTATAAAGAACTGCTTGAGATTGGGCAATTTAGAAAGAAAAGAGATTTAATTAACTCATACTTCTGCATGGCTGGGGAGGCCTCAAGAGGCTTACAATCATGGTGGAAGGGGAAGCAGTCACATCTTACATGGTGGCAGGTGAGAGAGTGAAAAGTCCAGGGGAAAGTGCCATTTATAAAACCATCAGATCTCATAAGAACTCCCTCACTATCATGAGAACAGCATGGGAGAAACCATCCCCATGGTCCAATCACCTCCCACTGGGTCCATCCCTTGACATGATACATGGGGATCATGTGGATTACAATTCAAGATGAGATTTGGGTAGGGACACAACAAAACCATATCAGTCATCTTTTTTTAAAAGAGAAAATGATACTCAGAAATATTAACTTGCTGAGAGTGATTGAGCTGGGCACAAAACTCAAGTCTGTGTAGTGCCCTTTCTAATTTCTGCTAATAACTATTATTTGTTGTTTTTGTTCTTGTTTCTGGTTTCACTTTATAGCAGGACTGAATTTGATAGCTGAATATATTTTTCTCCATTTTGTTTTTGTATTGTTGTTGTTGTTGCTGTGGTTTTAGTCATTTTTTGTTGAAGTTTGAGGGATGAAGAACAGTTATTGTATAATAAGTCAATACTCACAACAGTATATTAGAAAGTCATTAAGGCATTTGACAAAATTATTTATAAAATCACTATGAATATAGAAGATAAATGTGGACTAAAAAAGTACAATAAAATAGATTCATGACAATTTACAGAAAGTGTATCCAAAGGGTGCTGATCCACAGCTGTTCACCAGGTGAACTTTAACAGCTTACATGTCAAACAGACTGGAACTAGGAGGTGATGACTTCTCTCTGTATTAGTATTTTCATGTGCACAATGGAAAACTGTTACTACCGTAGCTATTGATTGTGAGGATTTTATAGACAATGTAGGTAAATTGCTTAGCATGTCAGATAATACATCCTAAATAAATTTAAAGATGATACTTAAAAAGAAGAAAAAAGAAGGAGAAGGAGTGAAAAAAAGAGGAGGGAAAGTGGAGTCAAAGCTCTGTCCTTGGGCTGTCATGTTCAAAGCTTTTAAATGACTAGATTAGAACCTCTAAGGTATGTCACATTGTTTGCAGTTGTCCACAAAAATGCACACAAGCAACGTTATGCTTAATATTTCACTAGGCATTCAGCTTAATAGGGATCCATAGTGGTAGGTGGCTCAGAAAACAAACAGAAAATAACATATAACAAGTATTGAATATCTTTGTAATTTTCTGTCTCATTCATCTGTCTAATATTGACAGTGGAGTGTTAAAGTCTCCCACTATTATTGTGTGAGTGTCTAAGTCTCTTTGTAGGTCTATAAGAATTTGCTTTTTGAATCTGGCTGCTCCTGTATTGGGTGCATATATATTTAGGATAGTTAGCTCTTCTTGTTGCATTGATCCCTTTACCATTATGTAATGCCCTTCTTTGTCTTTTTTGATCTTTGTGGGTCTAAAGTCTGTTTCATCAGAGATTAGGATTGCAACCCCTGCTTTTTTTTTGCTTTCCATTTGCTTGGTAAATATTCCTCCATCCCTTTATTTTGAGCCTATGTGTGTCTTTGCACGTGACATGGGTCTCCTGAATACAGCACACCGATGGGTCTTGACTCTTTATCCAATTTGCAAGTCTGTGTCTTTTAATTGGAGCATTTAGCCCGTTTACATTTAAGGTTAATATTGTTATGTGTGAATTTGATCCTGTCATTATGATGCTAGCTGGTTATTTTGCCCATTAGTTGATGCAGTTTCTTCATACTGTCGATGCTCTTTACAATTTGGTATGTTTTTACAGCAGCTGATACCGGTATTTCCTTTCCATATTTAGTGCTTCTTCAAGGAGCTCTTGTAAGGCAGGGCTGGTAGTCACAAAATCTCTTAGTATTTGCCAGCTCTGGACAAAGTGGACCTAATAGACATCTACAGAACTCTCCACCCCAAATCAACAGAATATACATTCTTCTCAGCACCACATCACACTTATTCTAAAATTGACCACACAATTGGAAGTAAAACACTCCTAAGTAAATGCAAAAGAACAGAAATCATAACAAACAGTCCCTCAGACCACAGTGCAATCAAATTAGAATTCAGGATTAAGAAACTCACTAAAACCACACTATATGGAAACTGAACAGCCTGCTCCTGAATGACTACTGGGTAAATAATGAAATTAAGGCAGAAATAAATAAGTTCTTTGAAATCAATGACAACAAAGACACAACATACCAGAATCTCTGCGACACAGCTAAAGCAGTGTTTAGATGGAAATTTATAGCACCAAATGCCAACAGGAGAAAGTGGGAAAGATCTAAAATTGACACCCCAGCATCACAATGCAAAGAACTAGAGAAGCACGAGCAAACACATTCAAAAGCTAGCAAAAGACAAGAAATAACTAAGATCAGAGCAGAACTGAAGGAGACAGAGACACAAAAAACCCTTCAAAAAATCAATGAATCCAGGAGCTAGTATTTTGAAAAGATTAACAAAATAGACTGCTAGCCAAACTAATAAAGAAGAAAAGAGAGAAGGATCAAATAGACAAAATAAAAAATCATAAAAGGGATATCACCACTTACCCCACAGAAAAACAAACTACCATCAGAGAATACTGTAAACACCTCTACACAAATAAACTAGAAAATCTAGAAGAAATGGATAAATTCCTGAACAAATAAACCCTCCCAAGACTAAATGAGGAAGTAGTCAAATCCTTGAATAGGCCAATAACAAGTTCTGAAATTGAGGCAGTAATGAATAGCCTACAAACCAAAAAAAGCCCAGGACCAGATGGATTTACAGCCAAATTCTACCAGAGGTATGAAGAGGAGCTGGTACCATTCCTTCTGAAACTATTCCAAACAACTGAAAAAGAGGGACTCATCCCTAACTCATATTATGAGGGTAGCATCATCCTGATACCAAAACCTGGCAGAGACACAACAAATAAAGAAAATTTAAGGCCAATATCCCTGCATCAATGCAAAAATCCTCAATAAAATACTGACAACCCAAATCCAGCAGCACATCAGAAAGCTTACTGACCACGATCAAGTCGACTTCATCCCTGGGATGCAAGCTGGTTCAACATATGCAAATCAACAAATGTAATCCATCACATAAACAACCCAATGACAAAAGCCATATGATTATCTCAATAGATACAGATTATGCCTTCAATAAAATTCAACACCCCTTTCTGCTAAAAACTCTTAATAAACTAGGTATTGATGAAATGTATCTCAAAATAATAAGAGCTATTTATGACAAACCCACAGCCAATATCATACTTAATGGGCAAAAACTGGAAACATTCCCTGTGAAAACCAGCACAAGACAAGGATGTCCTCTATCATCACTCCTATTCAACAAAGTGTTGGAAGATCTGGCCAGGGAGATCAGGAAAGAGAAAGAAATAACAAGTATTGAAATAGGAAAACAGGAAATTAAATTTTCTCTGTTTGCAGATGAGATGATTGTATATTTAGAAAACCCCATCGTTTCAGCCCAAAATCTCCTTAAGCTGATAAGCAACTTCATCAAAGTCTCAGGGTACAAAATCAATGTGTAAAAATCACAAGCATTCCTTTACACCAATAACAGACAAACAGAGAGCCAAATAGTGAGTGAACTCCCATTCGCAATTGCTACGAAGAGAATAAAATACCTAGGAATACAACTTACAAGGGATGTGAAAGACCTCTTCAAGGAGAACTACAAACCACTGCTCAAGGAAATAGGAGAGTACACAAACAAATGGAAAAACATTCCATGTTCATGGATAGGAAGAATCAATATCATGAAAATAACCATATTGTCCAAAGTAATTTGTAGATACAATGCTATCCCCATCAAGCTACCATTGACTTTCTTCACAAAATTAGAAAAAAAACTACTTTAAATTTCATATGGAACCAAAAAAGAGCCCATGTAGTCAACACATTCCTAAGCAAAAAGAACAAAGCTGGAGGCATCACACTACCTGACTTCAAACTATACTACAAGGCTACAGTAATCAAAACAGCATGGTACTGATACTAAAACAGATATATAGACCAATGCAACACAACAGAGGCCTCAGAAATAATGCCACACATCTACAATGATCTGATCTTTGACAAACCTGACAAAAACAAGAAATGGGGAAAGGATTCTCCATTTAACAAATCTTGTTGGGAAAACTGGCTAGCCATATGTAGAAAGCTGAAACTGGATCCCTTCCTTACACCTTATACAAAAATTACCTCAAGATGGATTAAAGACTTAAACGTAAGAACTAAAACCATAAAAACCCTAGAAGAAAACCTAGGCAATACCATTCAGGACATAGGCATGGGCAAAGACTTCATGACTAAAACACCAAAAGCAATGGCAACAAAAGCCAAAATTGACAAATGGGATCTAATTAAACTAAAGAGCTTCTGCACAGCAAAGGAAACTATCATCAGAGTGAGCAGGCAACCTACAGAATGGGAAAAAATTTTTGCAATCTATCCATCTGACAAAGGGCTAATATTCAGAATTTACAAGGAACTTCAACAAATTTACAAGGTAGAAAAACAAACAAATCCATCAAAAAGTGGGCAAAGCATATGAACAGACACTTTTCAAAACAAGACATTTATGAGGCCAACAAACATATGAAAAAAACCTCATCATCACTGGTCATTAGAGAAATGTAAATCAAATCCACAAAGAAATACTGTCTCATGCTAGTTAGAATGGCAATCATTAAAAAGTCAGGAAACAACAAATGCTGGAGACCATGGCACATGTATACCTATGCAACAAACATGCACATTCTGCATATGTATCCCAGAACATAAAGAATAATATTAATAATAAAAACATGGCAAATCAAAATGTAAACAAGACCTGAAGTGATGTTGAAATGAAATCATGGAAGAAGAGCCTCAGAGGCAGGAGAAAAGAGGCTTTTCCATTGGGTTTATAAGTGAACAACTAAAATACTGTGAACAGTAAGGTGTACTGAGTTTTAAGAGGACTTTGAATCAGAAAGTAAGCAAGATGTGTAACGTTTTGAAATATGTCATGAAGATGGAACCAGAGATGTTTAATTTTAAAAGAAAGAAAAGCTTCAGCATGGGCATGAATATGTTCTTCCAATATATAAAAAGCATCCTGGGAGCGATTCTCTTTCTAGCTTCAATGAGCAAAATATTTAGAGAGTATTGCTTGTTGTTCATTCAAAGGGAACATTTCCTAAATGTTAGAGTTATCTAAATGGGATCCCAGTAAATAGTCATCATGAAATATGTTGCCTCATGCTTGGAGGAGTAAATATCTTATCAGAGACCAGTTCAAACAACTGCTATTCTGCCCTCCTGTGAAACCACAAGAAGAAAGACCAGTATCCATTGGGAGGCTGGGCCAATTGATCTCTAATGATCCTCAAACTATGAAATAACATGATTACCTTTCTATGAATTACTGTTCCACATTGCACACAGATTGTTTAAGTATTTATTTGGCCTTTGCCATGAGAAAAGCACTATGAGCTAGTTTTATATACTGATCATCTCATTTAATTTATGAGAGCGGTAACATTATGTTGTTGGTTTTAATTAAAAAAGTGAGGTATGGAGAAGTTAAATAATGTGTCCATGACCACAAGCTACTGAAGAAGGAAGCTGGTGTATGAACTCTAGCAACATGATTCTAGAATCGGGGCCTTCCTCTTTACTGTAGAAAGCTTATAAACTTTACGATGTTTCTCATGATATCTTGCATGTATAGTAGAATCATAACACCAATATGCTATATTCTATCATTGAATTATCCCTATCATGGCATCGGGACATCAAACAAATCTTAAATTCAGTGTAGCTTAGTTCTTACTATTATATTTGCCAGTCTTTTCATTTTTTGTGAAATCTAAGAATGAGAACTTGATTTACAAATCAGACCTAGAGTTTAGGACACCTTCTTTTAAATATTATTAGTTGTGTCTCACAGATTGTTAACTTCTCATACCACATTTATATCCTCCAATTAAATGATTCAGCAATACAAAATTTACTTTTTGAAATGATTAAACATTTCAGGAAGTGGTTTCCTTCTCCTCCCGTGGAAACAAATATGCAAGCTGCTTGGCTTATGTGATAAAACAATGTTGATAATGTCACAGGGAAAATAATCAAATGAGAGAATGACAGTGATGGCTAGGTATTTTCCAGTGATGATCTCGGTACTTTTGTACTCTCAAAACGCACTTTTAAAAATTTTGAGAAACTCATTATTTTCTTTTAAACAGCAAATATTTCTTAACTGCTAGCTAGCAGAATGCTGTCATATTCTTTCTGATGAGTCAGCAGTTGCAATGCCAGTACATTAAACAGCATTTTACAGAGGAAAAGAAGCAGAATAATAATTCTGTTGAATCTAACTAATCAAGCAATATCACACTTGGTAACAGATCATTTGTATTATTTAGAACTGAAAATTATAAACGTGTAATACCATATGCCTTTACTATTTAAAAAGGAAAAATATATGCTTTATGGAAATACAAGTGTAGATACCTAGAAATCTCTAGAGTGCACATTTATGGGCAGGACACCTGCATTTACATATGAGTGAAGCTGTGAGTTGTGTCAGCCAGAGTTCAAGGCACACGAGCTTTTCTCACACTGACATGTTCTAAAGCCAAATGATGCTTCCGCCAGCTGAGAGTACCTTTTTTGCTTAATCATGCAAGATGAGGAGTAGCCTCTTAATAAGGATAAAGAAAACTTGGAATCAAACTGAAATAATTAAGCATATTTACATATTTACTACACAAATCCTTCATATTTTGTTGAGTTTACATAATCAAGACTGAAAATCTCAGAACAGCATTCTCTGAATTTTCTATTTTCAATTTCAGAAGTTTCTAGTAACAATTCTATGTAAATAATAAATAGATCAAAATGCCAAAGGAAACTTTTTCCCTAAGATTTAGCTATCTCATTGTGCAACAATCCTGGAAAAAGACATACTTCAAATCATATAAAATACATTTCTGAGTAAGTTTGGAGTCAGGAGACATTTTTTTTCACACAAAAACATAATTGGCTGGCAGTTTATTTCATAGCATGTAACAATCACTACATTAATTAAACAATTTAATTGTCAGGAAAAATAATTCATTAAATAATATTTGATTTGGATGTCAGTCTCCTTTCAGCAAACCTCATTTCCACCAATTTGTCCTCTTTTAAAACATTTTATGGGCCGGGTGCGGTGGCTCACGCCTGTAATCCCAGCATTTTGGGAGGCCGAGGACAGCAGATCATGAGGTCAAGAGATCGAGACCATCCTGGCTAACACAGTGTAACACCGTCTCTACTAAAAATACAAAAATTAGCCGGGCGTGCTGGCGGGCGCCTGTAGTCCCAGCTACTCGGGAGGCTGAGGCAGGAGAATGGCGTGAACCCGGGAGGCAGAGCTTGCAGTGAGCCAAGATCGCGCCACTGCACTCCAGCCTGGGCGACAGAGCCAGACTCCGTCTCAAAAAAATTAATTAATTAATTAATTAATTAAAATAAAACATTTTATGTGTTTGTTTTAGGTAAAATTTCTCAACCTCAGCACTGGTGACATTTTGGATTGGATAATTCTTTGATGTGGGGGTTGCCCTATGTATTGGGGGATGTTTAGCAGCATGTCTGGCTATTACCCACTAAATGACAGTAGCAGTAATGTCAATCAGTAATGTCATGACTATCAGTAATGTCTACCGATATTGCCAAATGTCCCCTGGGAGATAAAAGCTTCTGGCTGGAAACCATTGATTTAAAGCCACCGCAGACTGCATCCACCCTTCCTCATGATAGCGAAAATTTTCCTTTTCTCTTTTTCACTAACTTCACTGCCATTCCTTGTGCCACCATTATAATTTAACTCTCCTTTCTTTCCCTTTATGGAAATTACTAAAGGTTTGCCTCTACTTTAAGGAATTAAACAATAGCTATTCTTTCTCCTGCTGCTGTGGCTCCACACCAGGCCATAGAACTTGTGGACCAGAAGGGGGCTTGATTTCCATCACTGCTCACCCCCTCCACAAAGCACTTCTGTGCAGGGCACTAACTATACAACCTTTCATGGTCCTCTGTTTACAATATTACAAGGTGTTATGGATATATAGAATGTGGAAGTTAATGTCTCCATAGTGGCACTGTGATAATAGGTAGTCATGTTGCCAGGCCAGTTTTCAAAAGTCCATTTGCCTATAAAGCAATTGAAGTCTGTAAATAGCAATATCTTGGATTCTGTGACTTGGAAACTGGAATGCATGTGGGATAGTTCTAAAGGAAGAGATAAAATGGAAAGGCAGCTGATATTTTTCCTCTGATCCAGTTTGGTAAAAAATATTTTAAATCAGAATGGTTTAGCTTTGATATCTATGCCCTTTAATGTTTCTATGGAAATCCTAAAAAGAAGAATTATAATTGCAAGCAGAAAGTCAGCCCCTGCTTTATTCTCGAAAGTTATTCTATCCTTACTTCCCAAACATAAATACATATGCTCCTTCAATGATGGCAAATTTGGATAAATGTAAGTTAGAAAGTGAAGGGAGTGACAAACAGACTCATTTCCTGTACATAATAGGCACTATTCATTAATTAGTATATTAGTAAATACATATTAGTTGGCTGAATCATTTCACAACAATTTGTATTTTACAGTGGTGATTTTTGTAAATCAAGATTCTATTTAACTGTTAAAAAAAAAACAGAGCAAACATTAAGTGCCTATTAAATGTACAAGTTAATACCCAGATACAATGGGGATGCACAGATAATGAAGACATGATTCATGTCCTTAGACATTTTCAAAATTCAAAAGAGGATTGGTAGAGAATAAAAACCATATGAATAAAATAAGGCTAGTTGGAGAAGGTTTTTTATTATGATGTACCCTGTAAATAATTATAATAGACATGAATAATTATGTATATTTTTCATCTCCTATAAACATTCTAAGTGTGACTGGCATCATTATTCAATGTTCACACATATATTCAGTTCTACTATGCTAATTTTGTGAAAATTGAGAATCAATTTTAACCTACAAAAAATTAAAGCATTTAAGCATTGCATTCCACTTGTTAACCCTTTCCAACAATGCAAAAGATCTTCTTTGCACCATACTCTGATGAAGAGGTCATATTACCACTTCCTTGAGAGCCCTCATAGATGAATCAGGAACACTTTGAATTGTATATTTTAGAAAATGTAAATCACTGAGCTAGATTTATGTAAGCAGTTAAACCATAGAGCCAGACTTTAAGCCATATCATCTGCTTCTAAACTCCATTTTGTCTCTCTATGTTCCAGGTTTCCTTCACTTTCCTCTTTACCTTGCCTTCCCAAGGTCATGTGTGGATATTGGTGGATTATTATACTCAAAATATTTTCCCTCTATTTTTATAATATGTTCCAGCCATGATCTTTATTTTTTTACTAAAAATGTGAGGCAAATAAAGTTTTAATATTTGCTCACTCTCTCTCTCATTGAAAATTGTATTCTATCTCATTCATTCTAACAAAAATGTTTAGTGGCTACCCAAAATTCTAGAGAGAAAGATTATTCAGATTTTCTCTATCAGCATTACCCTCTCTCTACTGTAAACATTTGTACCATAATACTTACAATAATGTTTTTGTTCTCTGTTCGGTCTGTGACCTGTTTAGAAGCTGGTCAATTCATGTTAAGTTGATACAACTTTATAAACATTTAAAGAATAGCCTTAATAAAACATTTATTTTTGAAACTCAATGGAATCATAATGTGTATTCTCACAATTCAAGGCATAATTGTTGGCTATTGATGGAGCAATCATTTTTGGTTGTTGAGTGTTTCAGTGCTTTTCAAGTTATGCCACATCAGTGTTTGTCTTTGTGCCACTTACAGGTTTCACCACAAAGGGCAGAAATGAGAACGCAACAGTGAACAATTCCCAGGGAAGATCAAAATTTGCCTTTATGATCCTGTAAATCTGAAATTAAAATGGTATAATGATGACGATGATAAGTTTGTGTACTAGTTCGAGGGATTATATCTTTTCTCAAGATGTAGTCATTACATATTTAAAAGGAACTAAGGTCATGCAAAAATAGAAAACACATATATATATATATATGAAAAAATATGTTACACTGTAGATTTTATAGAGAAGATAAGGGATAGGTAAGGAAATAGAGAGTGGCAGAGTTAACTAGCTGGGATTGGTATTGTTTTGGATAGTGTCATTAAGATCCTCTCACCTGAGAAGACATTTGAAAAGAGACTTGTAAAAAACAAAGGCACCAACCACCTGGGAAAGAACAAAGAATCTGGTGTCCCTGCCATAGAGACATCCTTAATATCTTCAGAGAAATTCAAGGCCAGAAAGCAGGCCCTCACCAGACATCGAATCTGTTGGTTCCTTGATCTTGAAATTCCCAGCTTCCAGAAATGGAAAAATAAACGCTGGTTATTTACAAGCTGCCCAGCCTATGGTAGTTTGTTATAGCACCCAAATGAACTAAGACAACAGGAAGGAGTATGATTTGATTTAGATTTTTTAAAGGTTCACTCTGGCTACTGTGTGGATTATAGAGGACTAAAGAGAAATAGCAGAAAATGTAGAGACTTTAGGATGCTATTACAAAAGTCCAGGGTATAAATTATAGTAAGTTGAACATGGATGATAGCTGTGGCAATAGTAAGAAAAGGTTAGATTCTGGAAATATTTTGAAGATAGAGCCCATGGAATTTGTTGACAGATTAATATGAGGGATGAAAGAAGTACAGAAATTCATGATAATACCACATATTCTGGCTTAAGTACTCAGAAGAATGAAGTTGCCATCTCTTTCATTTACTGAGATGAGGAACAGTTGGGGAGAAGTCCATTGGGCATGGCTAGAAAAAAGCAATGTTTCATATGTATTAATTTTGACCACTGAGTGGAGACATCTAAGATGTTTGGTGCATATGGGCCAGTAGTTAGAAGAGGTGTTTATATCAGAAATAGGTATTTGAAAAACCATTTATAAAGCTGGATTTTGAAGAAACTATATAAAGGTGCTATAGCCAGTGAGGTGAGAGAAGGCTGTACCAGGGCCAAGCAAGAAAAAAGCAGAAATGTATGCATACCTATATGTATGTAAATATTTTATATTATATATAAAATATATAAAATATAAATTTTATATGTCTGTGTGAATATGTGTGTGTGTGTATATATATATCTCTATATATATATAATCAAAGATGAGGAAGTCAACACATGAAATGTTTAATATGTGAAATAAAGTAATAATGAAGGACTGAATGTTGGATTTCACAGCGCTTTTCGAGAGCTGTTTTATTAGATTTTGGGGAAAGAAAACATTGTTGGTGTTTACTCAAAAAAGGTTGGGAGAAGGGAAAGTATACAGAACAATTAGAAACATCTCTTTCAAGAAATTTTGCCGTAAGGCGAGAGCAGCACACCAACATGGCACATGTATACATATGTAACTAACCTGCACGTTGTGCACATGTACCCTAAAACTTAAAGTATAATACAAAAAAAACAAAAAGAAAGAAACACGAGAGAGTAGATGGAGCAGTTGATGGAGCAGTGTTTGGAAACAAGAGAGAGTATAAAATGGTAAACAGGACAGCATGTTTACATGTTGATGAGAATAATCAACATAATAAACAAAGGTAAAAAGCAGGAGAGACGAGGCAGGGGTTGGGCTTAGATACAATTGGGTTCAACTACTGAAACAAAAAAATGGCAGAGGGTTTATATATGAATGCATGCAAGCTGGTAGATTTAGTGGTAAAAATTATATGGTGAACATCAATAAATCCTTAAGGGAAAAGAATATGCTAGAAACATATGTTTTACATAGGAAATTATAGCTAATAGATAATACATGCGAAATCATTTGAACTTTAAAACACCTTTGCACTATTTTCATTATTAAATGAAAGAGCAGAAAACACTATAGTAGAAATGCTTAGGGAATCTTTGAAAAAGGCAGAGAAATATTATGCTTTTAAATTGTCCAGTTAAGTGCAACACATGTCAGAAACAAAGGTTTGCATTCTTATTAACCCAAATGCATAATTCTATTTAAAATAGAACTATAACACTCAAATGAGCAAACGTTTGCTTTCAGATAGTCTATTGTTTAAGTTTGAAAAGTGCAATCTCTTCAAACTGATTTTGAATCTGCTATTCATTACAGAAAAGCCATTAGGAAGCAGAGTATTAACAAGTATCACCCAGAAAATAAATATTTACTGTCAACCTTACAGATGTGAAAAGTCCTGTTTCCACGTATACTTCTAATTGGATTTAAACTGCTTCCTAAGAGTTTTATTAAGTCTTTGATACTCTTTCAGCAAATTGCACACCATATTATTTTTTAAGCTTTCAGAAATCATCAAATGCAGGTTAGGGCACTAATTATCTAAAACTAAGAATGTTTAGTGAGACTTTGTTTCAGGGTCACTTTCAGTATTGAGTGACTTCAATGCATAATTTATGAAACATTTTTCAGCATCATGAACAGTCAGAGTTTAAGGTTTAAAGTTTAGTTATCACTATTATTAAAAATAATTCCACATAATTTTCCTGTTTTTCAGTCATTGTTGATAAATTCTCATTTGAAGTTTTTAGTAAATTGTAATTTTTTTTCTTAAAAGTAGGCTGAAATAATTAAATGTGATAGGAAAACAATATAATATAAATCTATATTCTTTTAAATATTTACAATGGTGCCATATTTTCAGTACATTAGGTGCTGAAGAAGGAACCGGTCAAATGAATTAATGCTTTATTTCCTGATGCACTCAACGTGCTTACACTAATTTAGTGTATCATAAAATGAATCTCAGTACAGCTTCCTAATACATCTAGTTTTTGAAAAAAAATATTTAGGAAGATAATAGAAGATAAACACTACCCTCTTTATGGAATAATAATATTCATTATAAATGTTAAGTTCCTACTACATCTCTACCTTTTCATTAAACCATTTACAAGTCTTATCACATTGAGATTTCAACACAAGACAGCAGCAAAGGTGTTGTTATACCCATTATTCCAATGCAAAATCAGTATCTCAGAGTGTTTCAAGTAACTTGGTGAGAACTTTCAGGCGGTAATCAAATGACAGAGCTAGGATCTGAACTTCTGTTGACTTCTCTTTCTACAGAATCCCCCCTGGATATCTAAGTTGTAAGCTGATAATGGATATCCAGAGTCACAAACTTCCAGTCCCTATTCTTGGTCTGGCCTGTAGATATTCAATAAATCTTCTGATATATTATCAGAAAATATGTAATAACTCCTTCTACATAAATGGAGACTTTTATCTAGTAGGTTTTAAAATTAAAGTTGCACATATATAGCTTTCTATCTCACCATCTTCTTGGAAATACAACATGGATATCAATAAGGCAACATTTCACATCATAATTGATTTCTATATAAAATATTTCCTGCAAATCTGCATTTTTCAAGGAATGCATTTACACTGGTTTAAATAAAATAGAATTCAAATAGTTTATTTTCTGACAAAGTATGAAGCACTCAAAGTGTTTCTGAAAATCTGCTTTATTTTTTTATCGTAGCTGTAGTATAAGCTGGTAATCATCAACTAACATGTATTTACTAAATGGTAGAGTATAAGAGGCTAACAGCTAATAAAATATAAAGAAATAACAGATGTACCTAAAAGGCAGCTGCAAAATACCACAGAAAGGGACATTCTAGAAGAGCGTACTGGAACTCAGGAAGTCAGGCAGCTAACGACCACTAGTTTATAGGATTCTCTAAGAACAGTAAAAAACAAGACAAAACAACAGCAACAAAAAACACATACACAAAAAAAAATACATGACACTGGAGCCTACCAGAAGGTGGAGAGTGGGAGGAGGGAGAGGATCAGGAAAAATAACTAATAGGTACTAGACTTAATGCTTGGGTAACAAAATAATCTATACAACAAACCCCCATGACATGAGTTTACCTATATAACAAACATGCACATGTACCCCTGATATTAAAACGTACATAAAATGTTAAATACAAGAAACACTACAATATAGCAAGTTTTAGAGTAACTGATGAAGTTTAAAAAACAGTAACACAATGAAGTGACAACAAAAATAATGCATTCCATGTTGACCTAAAAAGAGCACATGTATATTCTTTGGCTTCACGGTAATATTTTAATAGTCGTAATAATGGATCTCAATGGATTTCAAGTATACCCCTATAAACCATCCATAAAACTTAAATATGGCGACCAGAAAGGATAGAAATGTTGTCAAAATTGACATTGTAATAGGGAAGCTATGACTTCAAAGCTTACCAAATGGAAATGAAGAAGAGAACTGGACAGGAAGCCAGAATGAGTAACATGCTAAAATTACAAGATGACCAAGAAGAGATACTGTTAAAACATTAGAAATAAGAAAAACAAACTTAATTATATTAACCAAAGTTGAAATTTAACTGAGAAAACACAAGATATAGTGACAATGATTAAAAATGTGAAATAGAGGAAAAATGAAAGTATGAGCCACATTCTCACCTTTCAAAGCAGAAAGTCAATAAATAATGAATAAAGTTGGTTAATAAAAAAAAGTGGTATGTGATCTAATACTTATAGATATGAGGGTAACCCTCCTGACTGCCACAGGATAGATCACATATTATTAGAATTTTGCCTTTGGGCAAATTGAGGGTTGAAGGGCATTTCCTAATAAAGGTTTCTATTGTATTTTGTCTTTTTCTCATGTATTATTTTGTTTTTTAAAATGCCTAATAGTTACTCTCTATTTGATTTGGGTATGCTGTAGCCAAATAGATGTGACATTTATGCCACTGTAACTCAAAGAGCATGGATTCCAAAGCAGGAAGGCAGAATATTAGTGGCAGTTTCTCCCAATTATAGACATGCCCTGAATTTCTGAATGGACAGTTACAATCATCCTGTGTTAGGAGAGGATTAGAAGTCAATGGTTTACAAATGTTTAAGCTCACATTGTAGTTATTTTTGAAATGTAAATTAGTACATTTAATGCTTTCAATGAGTCATTAAACACACATTTATATACTTTTATGAGCTAAAATGTTACAATCCAAAATATTGCCTAATTCTGACAGACTATTTTTTCCATGTATAACAGACATTGCAAACTGTACCAGATTATTATATTTCTTTCCTAAGGTCAATAAGAAGGTTAATGCTTAGCCATAGGCAGTTCAAGTAGAATATGTGTAAAATGTCAGTCAAGTAGAATAATTACAGTCCATTATTAACCCAAATAACACAAAATAATTACTGATTCTAACCAAGAAAGTTCTATTTTTAACCTATGAATGTCAGGACACAGCCTGGCATTTAGCCTTCAGAAATCAAGTCTTTCTTTTTCTTTTTTTGATAGAAGTATCATGGGGAAAGCTATTATTTGTCTTTTGCTCTCTAGAGATCACTCTCTTGCAATTTACAGTGATCTACATAATTTTAAGACCATGAGTCAGAAAAAGGCAATGGAGTATTGTAATAAAAAGATACTTTGGCTTTATCACACTTGTTTGTTGTTCAAAAAAGAAATCTGTGATCAAAATGTATTAACGTATTTTACTAAAAATCGTGGCTAGTGTGTTTATAATTCATTAGAAGGATATAAAAATCCTTTTCTCATACAATAATAAAATTGCTATCCTATTTTGAAACTTAAAGCATAAATTAGCTTTTGAACAAGGAAAGTTGTGTGATACATTAAAAATTCTAAATCTGAAATATCCACACATTCATTTATTGAGCTCTCACTATCTTTTCTGACATAATGTTAAACAAACTACATGTATGTGGATGTTCTTCAATGTAATTGTGATGATAGCAGTCAGTTTTTGTGATACAGTCTTCTATAATATTTCTACCACTATATTTTCCCAACTTATAAAGACCATTATAAATTTCTGAGTTATGACTCTACTATGTTAAAATAAAATAAAAATAATGTATCTAAGAAAAAATGAGAATCATAGTTCTTATGTATTTTCATGGGTTCATTATACTATTTCAAAATATTTTAACATTTAAGTAATAAAGATAATTCATGAAGGTTTGTAACTAAAATGAACCACAATTTAAAACTTAAACAACTGGGTGGGTAGTTGTGCTAGTCACCAAAAGAAGATATTCCAAGAATAGATTTGCAGAAATGGAGAATGATAATTTAAAGCTGAAGATGTCTATATCTAGATACAGATATATTTATATGGTAACTGGAAATATACATAAGTTGAAAATAATTCTTATTGGAGAAATAGATTCAGGAGTAATAAAAATGTATGAGTAACATCTTTTTCACAAGAGTAGAAAATGTAAACACGATATATGTCATACGGGATGTGTAAGATGAGAAACATCACTCCAATACAAGGGAAAGCACAAGTACATGGACAGATGAGAGATTCCAGATATTAGCATTTGGGCCCCCTCTTTCATCATGGGCACAAATACCTCTCTCACTTATGGATTTTCCATTAGGTGAGCCATTAACAATGGGTAACATTTTTGTATAATGCACACAGTAATAATAATTCCTCATGTAAAGATGAATTAAACTATGAAGGAAACTTGTCCATGGGCCATGCCCAAATCTCTGAGTGGTTGAGTCAGAGAGAGCATTACACTGTAAATGGTCTCACATTTGGAATAGCAACTAAGTTCTACAGGAATTGAAAGTAGAGATGGGGTTGCCTGACTTCAAAGTTTTACCTGGACCCTTAGTGACATGGCATGTCAGGACCGTAGTGCAGGATGAGACATGAATTGTCCATCAGGAGCTAAATGATGGTATCTCTTTGCTAGTCAGACTTAATGGGAGTCCAAGGTGGTAGGTTTCAATGGTGGGAAGATTGAGGTTTCAGTTGACATACTATCAGTAATGGGTACTAGCAGAAAATGGTTTGGGTGCAACCGATAGTCTTTGTTTAGTGTTCTAAATATAATGAAGTTCATTTATATCAGAAAAAAGGTACATAAATAACAATAGCAACATGGGTGCGTGTATTCATGGACTGAGTCTATAATTGTTTCTTTAGTTATAGAACCTCTACAAAACCCATTAGTGGGGTAATAGGGGAAGGTGTTATTGATATCTAAATCCTAGAAAAAGCTATTGAGGTGATTGGTATATAAATTTATTAGTATGTCTCACTATCAAAATATATCAGTAACAGCTCTTATTAAATGTATTATTTGGTAGGTATAAAATTCACAAAAAATAGTAATAGAGAAAAGTTTCCCATCACCTATGAGGAAATACAAGTCTGATTTGCTCCAAAGAATGTCATAAAGAAGATAACCAGTTTTAAAGATACACACTAGCTAAGATACTGCTCTTGGGGGAAAATCATGTATCTAATTTATACTTCAACAATCACATATGATGTTTCCTCCTTCTCTTGTTAAAGTGCACTGAAATGGAGCCTGGGCCTGAAGAATCCCTGAGCAGGCAAAGCCAGTTTGTCCTCAAATAAACTCTCTACAATTTTCTTTTTCCTCAGTTTATTTTTTTTTTAACATTTAAAAAGAGTGAATTTTAGAAAGCATGTAAATCTCTAAGAAAAAAGGCTTATGAAAGTTTATGTGATCCGTCAGATCAGGGTTTAAGACCCACTTAGATATTTTTACATTGTTAACACAAAATTTCTGAAACGCTTTTAAAATAAGGTATCTATCTATCTTATACATATAAATGTGTCCATATATATGATACATAAATATATATCATACAGTCCATATATACATATAGTATAGATATATATATATGATATATGTAGTATATATAGCATACATACACACACACACACACAAAGGTCACTCTTTAGGTTCCTTTTAAGGTTCCTCTCTCTTTTTTATTTCTTAGTGAGTCGATCCAGTCTAGTGATTAAAATGCCATCTAGATGATAATCTCTCCCACCACCATTCTAATCTCTTTTCCAAAATACTCTCCCCATCTCAGCTTTCCCCTATCTCAGTTCATGCTAACTACATCTTTCCAGTAAATCAGACTGAGTATCTTGGAGGCAACCTTTAATCACTTCCCTTTTCTTATTTCTCACAAACACTAAAATGAATCTTATCAGTCCTTCCTTCAAAATATACACAGAAGCTGACCACTTGTAAATCCAAAGGTACAGATGTAGTTGAAATCACCACCATCTCTCACCTGGATGTCAACATCAACTCTCCTTAACTCTGATTGTCAAAATGAATATTTTGGTTTCTACTCTTCACTTTCATCTCCTCTCCACCCACCTCATTCTCAAAACCACAACAAAAGTGATGCTTTTAAAGTAAGTCAAGCCATGCCAGTCTTCTGCTCAACATGGGTAGGGGGAGAAAATAAGAGCTTAGGTACTAGCTTCAAGGTGAGACAATGCTCAAGAAACAGTCCAGCCCCAATGTTCCTGTGGAACCCTTTGCTAAGACTATGGTGCAATTCAACTCCTTTCTCTGTCCAATCCTACTTCTCCCTTCCTATCCCCAACCCCAAGGAAGTGATCCCAATGGGACATATCAATAAATCTTCTGTAGGTAATTTTTCGTATTAGGGGCTGTTTTTCTAGAGAATTGTAATTAGAATATATACGGTACAATTTGTATATTTCATATACTCATTATTTATTGTGCAACATCTTTCTTTAAAAATCTGTGCCATAAAGGCAGGATGTTACATCCCCAAATATAAGGTACATAGCATATGTTTAATAAATGGGTGCCACTAGATAGTGCTTAAAACATGAGCTGAATGGAAGAATGAAAGTACTTGTCAGAAGGATTTTCTTAGATAAAGGATTCAAGTGGTCAACTCAGAATGACATTCATGTGCCATTATTATCTTTTAATGTATTTTTTCTATCTTATACCTTTTCTTCCTTTTCCTTTGTACTGAAACCATGATGATCAATAGCATGTTTAAGCAGGTCTCAGAAACCTAAACATTATTTAGGTCCAAGGAAATTGCATTCTCTTGTGAGAAATTTCAGCATTAGGAGGTTGTGGCTTACAGTTTCTTCATTCTACCAATTGAAGGTCTTTAGCGTCTATTTTATAGCTATCATCTCCCTTATAGTTTCTGCTGCATTATACCACCTTTGCCATCTACTTCGGGTATATTCTTAGCTTTGACTTGCTCAAAGTTAGGTCCTTCCTAACCTACCTCTGATCCTGTGGATCTTCTCAGGTATAACATTTACTATGACCACATTGTCTCTCAATTTTTTAGTTACCTAGACCCTTTGGAAAAATGTATCCCCATTCTACAAAAGTATGGCTTTTTCAAATGTTATTAATCATTCTATGGACTGACTGCTTTGAGTCAGGTATTTAGCTCAATCCAGTCTTCTGTGGCCAGATGGAGCAGTCAGGTGATACAAATGTGACTATCTAAGACTGAGGTTAGAGGATGAGAAAAGACAGGCTCCCTTGTAAGAAGCCACAGGTATAGCAGTTCTGGCAATGGGCTGTGTAATAACACCTCTGTTTGAAAACATCCTCCATTGCAACATCATCATCTATATTTCTGTGAAAGACAACCAACACAGTAAGTAGTCATTTTTTTTTCCTTATTCTGTTTTCTTTTTACCTGTAACTTAATAAAGTTATGATTTTATTTTACATGTATTACTATTATAAAATATATGAGGGTATAATCTTTTTAGACTCATGTAAGATCTATTTCTGACCTATTATCAATTGGAAATATAAAATCCCTTTTGGGATCAGTTCAAGGCTATTGACAGATAAATTCAAGCAAAAATATTCTTCGCTTGTGAAATATTCTCATGTTTAAGTTTGGCAGCCGTGCAAACTAAGTTCTAAATTCTCAAAGCCTCAATTCTGAAACACCTATTCTTTCAGTTGGATAGTTTTTATTGTGGAGTCAGCTTTTAAGTGTAAGCCAAGTAGAAAGTATGTCTAGAAAGGATGTTTTTTGCCAATAGGCAAGTGAGATGAGTTCTGCAAAGATGCTTGGAAACTTTCCACAGCAGGAAAGCATATGATATATTTTAGTTGCTCTAAGTATTTGTATTCTGCACTCATGCTCAGACAGTCAGGCTAAGTGTGCATTTATAAAGTAAGGAAACAAACTAACCCAACAACTGGCTTTCAGGAAACTCTGCTTTATTTTTAGCTACTGTTGTTTCAGAGATGTAGTTCCTATACTGAAAGTAATGGATAAAGTAAACTTAGAGAACTATGTGTAATCATCCCTTATTGAGTTAGCATAGAGGATTTTTTTGAAGAAATTTGAAAATATTGAAGTCAACATTTACATTTTCATTGTTATCACCTGCCTTGAAGCAGAAGGTCCTTTACATTAATAACAGGCATGTATAAGCATCTGGTTCTAAGATCATTATGAGCAATAGCTACTGCTGTCTGTGGAGAAAGATTTGGCTTTTTGCCAGCATTATATAGGGCTTGCATCCACAGTTTATGTCTAACTTTAGGGTCCTTTTGGTTTCCTTTTTTTTTTTTTTTTTTTTTTTTTTTTTGTGAGATTTGAGTCTCACTCCGTTACCCAGGCTGGAGTGCAGTGGCACCATCTTGGCTCACTATAACCTCTGCCTCCTAGGTTCAAGCAATTCTCCTGTCTCAACCACCCTAGTAGCTGGAACTACAGGCGCCCACCACTATGCCTTGCTAATTTTTGTATTTTTAGTAGAGACGGGATTTCACCATAATGTCAGGCTGGTCTTGAACTATTGACTTCAGGTGATCCACCCGCCTTGGCCTCCCGTAGTGCTGGGATTACAGGCATGAGCCACCACACGCAGCCAAGTCCTTTTGATTTCTGTATGTTCCACATTTTCAAAAAAAAAAAAAAGTGCACTTTCACAATCAGGAATGGACAAGCTGTTTTTTTTGTTTGTTTGTTTGTTTTTTAATCTTTTTTGTCCTCTATATGTTCTCACTTTATTTTTTTATTATTTTTCTTTATTTTCTTTCTTTTGTTTTTTTTTTTTTTTTTTTTTTTTTTGCAGGGAAAGGGATTGGTTCCAGTTCATTTTGTCTATGTAAATGTGATATTAATTCTAAGAAGTTATATCAAATGATCTTTGTCCTCATTTGATGGAAGCTGAGAAAATAATATTTTCTACCCACAGTTGCTGAGACAAACTAAAAAGCTATAGAGCAGTTGAGTTCTATATTCTCTTTTTTTTTTTTTTTTTTTTTTTGAGACGAAGTCTCACTGTCGCCCAGGCTGGAGTGCGGTGGTGCGATCTCGGCTCACTGCAAGCTCCACCTCCCGGGTTCACGCCATTCTCCTGCCTCAGTCTCCCGAGTAGCTGGGACTACCGGCGCCCACCACCACGCCCGGCTAATTTCTTTTGTATTTTTAGTGGAGACGGGTTTTCACTGTGATAGCCAGGATGGTCTCGATCTCCTGACCTGGTGATCAGCCCGTCTCGGCCTCCCAAAGTGCTGAGATTACAGGTGTGAGCCACCACGCCCGGCCGAGTTCTATATTCTTGAAGAATCTATAAAAGTACCTACAATTAACTTTTTGTTTATTTGTACAAATCTAAGATGTCATCCCTAAGTAAATATTAAAAAGTCAATCTCATAAATACAAAGGCACAATTTGTCTTGTTAATAGCTCTATTCCCAGTGTTTAGAATTATGTCAATCAGGCAATAAACGCAACATAAATATTTGTTCAGCATGCCAATTAAATCATAACTATGAATACATCATTCATTAATCCCTATCATGACAATCAGAGCCATATAAAAATCCCAGGAATTCAAAAAAGAAGTAACTGTCAGTTTTGACCTTTGAAAATATTCATATCCTGAATCTTTTTTTCTGTATGAATTTTGAATTTTCCATCGTGAATAATCTATGTAACCATTTTGTTATACAATTTAGACAGATTTTGTTGTACTGAAATTATTAATTCATATGATAAATATACATCCTCTTTATTAACTTAATAATTTGTTCACTCATTATTAATTAAAGATATTTAGATTGTTCAATACATTCTTGACACTGTTCCATGCACTGGGGTTACAAAACCCTGAAGAAAGATAGCTATCATGAAATTTAGCTTCTCTGCTTCATCACAGTTTTAAAATTGCATTTATCACACTGAACTACTTTTTCATAATATGGCTGTCATTTATTTAAGGGTGACATCTTAGGTCTAAGCAAAGAAGCAAAGAAGTCAACTGCAGTTTCTACTCTACTCTTGTAAGGTGATGGAACTTAACCACTTTTTTTTCTAATTTGTTTCAGCAATTCTGGGTAAAGAATATTCTTTTATTAGCTTTCTTTAAATAATAAATAAAGACTACTTGGTGTGTATGCTGAGAATGTGGTGTGCTGAAACCACATTTACTTAAAATGTGTGTGCAATAACTTTTAAGATTCTTAAGCAATATTACTTTTTAAATAATGCATTACCTTTAATTGTTAAAGACCCTTTCACCATTATCAAAAAAGAAAGCCGTCATTAGGATACATACAATTTCCACCTCTGGCCCACTTTATTGAGAGAATAAAGATGATCTTTTAACAAAACCTTACCTTAATTCATCAAAAAGCTATTGACCTAGGCGCTAATTTCTCTTGGTCAATTTTTATAACACAGTTGCCTTAGTTATTAGTCAAATGTCAGAGATTTATCTTTCTTTCCTAAATGAATGTACACATCGAGTAGTACTCTAGAATTGTATTAGAACTATCTTTAAGCACAAAAAAGGAAGAAACAAATATACAAGTCATCATAGTAGTGTTCACACAGTTACTATTTTTAAGACATACCTTAAATGAAATAGGAACTTCTTTACAGCTATTATACCCGACTTTACTATTCAATAAATGATGAATTTCAAAATGATTAAGTAGCACAGTTAATTTATTTGGACCACAATGAAAAAAAAGTCCTTACTTTTTGGACACAGGTAAGGGACTCATAATGAAGGGAAAAACTTAATTTCCTTCTCAGGGAACGTTATTATTGAGCCTTACTTGATATAATTTTGAACTTCAGGCTGCATCTATTGAAGGTAGAGATTAAAATATTTTGCCCTTACTGTAACATCATTCTACAGTACTATACTCAAGTTTCCGAGCCTAGCCAAAGAATCATAGTATAAAATCAAACATACCTCAAAAAATTAAATCAAAATACACCTGTGAAGAATACATTACAAGGCAATGGAAAGTAAATCTTAGAGAAGTAAATAATTGTGATGTGAATTTGTTTGTCTCATTAGCTTTTATAAGGGTACCAACCTTATTTGTATAACTGAAAAATATAACATGGCAAACTCCAGTTTACAGTATCATCAACTAATATACCCTAGATGACAGTTGCAGTTCTAATTACTATTAAGCTGGCCCAGTTGGAACTAGTAAATTTTCAGGATTCTGGTAGAATTCGGCTGTGAATCCGTCTGGTCCTGGGCTTTTTTTGGTTGGTAAGCTATTAATTACTGCCTCAATTTCAGAACTTGTTATTGGTCTATTCAGGGATTGTTATTGATCTATTCAGGAATTTGACTTCTTCCTGGTTTAGTCTTGGGAGGGTGTATGCGTCCAGGAATTTATCCATTTCTTCTAGATTTTCCAGTTTATTTGGGTAGAAGTGTTTATAGTATTCTCTGATGGTAGTTTTTATTTCTGTGGGATTGGTGGTGATATCCCCTTTATCGTTTTTTATTGTGTCTATTTGATTCTTCTCTCTTTTCTTCTTTATTAGTCTGGCTAGCGGTGTGTCTATTTTGTTAATCTTTTTAAAAAACCAGCTCCTGGATTCATGGATTTTTTGAAGGGTTTTGCGTGTCTCTGCCTCCTTCAGTTCTGCTCTGATCTGTTATTTCTTGTCTTGTGCTATCCTTTGAATTTGTTTGCCCTTGCCTCTCTAGTTCTTTTAATTGTGATGTTAGGGTATCAATTTTAGATCTTTCCTGCTTTCTCCTGTGGGCATTTAGTGCTATAAATTTCCCTCTAAACACTGCTTTAGTTGTCTCAGAGATTCTGTTACATTGTGTCTTTGTTCTCATTGGTTTGACAGTGTGGCAATTCCTCAAGGATCTAGAACCAGAAATACCATTTGAACCCATAATCTTATTACTGGGCATATACACAAAAGATTATAAATCATTCTACTATAAAGATACATGCACACGTATGTTTATTGCAGCACTGTTCACAATAGCAAAGACTTGGAACCAACCAAAATGCCCATCAGTGACTGGATATCCATTAGACTGGATAAAGAGAATGTGACACATATACACCATGGATTACTATGCAGCTATAAAAAAGAATGAGTTTATGTCCTTTGCAGGGACATGGATGTAGCTGGAAACCATCATTTTCAGTAAACTAACATAGGAACAGAAAACCAAACACCACATGTTCTCATTCATAAGTGGGAGTTGAGCAATGAGAACACATGGACACAGGGAGGGGAACATCACACACTGGGGCTTGTCGGGGGCTGGGGGGCTAGGGGAGGGATAGCATTAGAAGAAATACCTAATGTAGATGGTGGATTGATGGGTGTAGCAAACCACCATGGCACGTGTATACTTGTGTAACAAACGTGCACATTCTGCACATATATCCCACAAGTTAAAATATAATAAAAAAAACTTATTAGAACTCATATCATGAACCAAAAAATCACATTTAAAAGAATATAGGCGGAGCGTGGTGACTCATGCCTGTAATCCCAGCACCTTGGGAGGCCGAGGTGGGCAGATCACCTGAGGTCAGGAGTTCGGGACCAGCCTAGCCAACATGATGAAACCCCGTCTCTACTAAAAATGCAAAAATCAGCCCAGCATGGTAGGGCATGTGTGTATACCAGCTACTCAGGAGGCTGAGGAAGGAGAATCGCTTGAAGCCAGGAGGCAGAGGTTGCAGTGAGCCAAGATTGCGCCACTGCACTCCAGCCTGGGTGACAAAGCGAGATTCTGTCTCAAAAAAAGAAAAAAAAAGAATGTAAATAAAGATCAGATTGGTATCTTTAAATAATGATTGTTTAGTTACACAAATCTACTTGTTTGTGCTATAACATTTTTCACACTAACTTTGAAATTGAAAAATATTATGAATATGCATGATAAAAATGTGAGCCCCGTGTAGGCAAGCATACATAATTTAGTAGAAGGCAATAGTTTAAAAAATATTATAATGTTATATTTGAAATTAAATTGTCCTTTTTAATGCAAATAAAAATACAGTATTCTACTTAAACTTGCATCAAACAGAGAATTACATTCAACTACCTGTGCCCAATTCTATATAAGTGAAGGCAACCGAAATATTATTCATCATACTATTTAAAAATATATAATAAATGGCTCTGAAAGAAAACAACAATTTTCTAGAAAACCTGCTTTTTATATGATTGACACAAATGATATTTTTCCTAAAGGATATTTTGTCCTGATAACATGATGCAAGAAAAAAAAAAGATGCTTCAAAATAGAAAGCTGATTTCTATTTGTCAGAGATTCAATACTTAGGAAAGCAATTATTTGGCTATTTTATACACGCAAATAATTCTGAGAAATATACTATATATGATCAGTTTGAATTTATTATTTTGTTTCTCATTAAGTTTTATACACTCTGTGAAGGAGAATTACTTCTGAAAATTTTAGAAAAGATTTACCTATATATCTCCCACAATACCATTTCTCAGGTAGGATAAAAGTAGTCCTATAACGAATCCTTAAATAAAAAACTAGTAAATTTCATAAAAATATTAAGAACTCCACAAAAATTATTTAGAAATAAATAATGAAAATAAATACATATAAACACAATTAGAAATGAATATAATTAATTTTATTAAAATCCACAAAGTATAATTCCTTTCAACTTAAAATTACAGAATATTTACTGAATACACATTGACCAAATTAAGCATTAAAGTAACAATTCCACCTTCCATACACACGTCGTGGCTGTGACTGCTCATTTATTTTAATTTTAGATGTATAAATAATTAGATTTAAAGGTAGCCTTCTTAAATGAACTTGTTTGATGTACATGCAGTAAAATATTTGAGTAAATGTTTGCCAAATATTAGCACACTTTATTAGTGGCAATAGTGGGATTATTTGCCTGTATTACTAAAATTGTTAAAAAGAATATGTATATAAGGTTGTATTTAAAGCCAAATAATAAGACTATAGGTAAAAATATTAGCATTCAGTTAAAATAGTGGAATGACTTATCCACATCCATCTTACAAAGTGAAAAATTAACCATAGCATTGCTTTAATAAGTAATCATCTGGCTGTTAAACAAAGTCTACCTTTGAAAGTGAATGTCCCATTTATTCTTTCCTTTTAGTTTAATATGAACTCCAGAAAAGCATCTTAGAGATCATGTCCTGACTTAGCCCTTGAAGTGGTCAGGAATCAACGACAATTATCAACACTTCCATGGCCCTCATTGCATGTCACACACTGTCCTAAGTGCATTACTGAATGTTCACTGATTTACTGATTTAATCCTCACAATGACACAATGGTGAAGGCATTGTTATTTTCCATATTACACATTTGAAAAACAGGCCTGGAGGGGCTCAGTAAATACCCTAAAATCATACAACTTGAGAAAAGTAAACTAATCTTTAAGCCCAGAATTATTATTATTATTATTATTATTATTATTATTATTGAGACAGTCTTGCTGTGTTACTCAGGCTGGAGTACAGTGGCAGAATCTTGGCTCACTGCTACCTCTGTCTCCCAGGTTCAATGATTCTCCTGCCTCAGACTTCTGAGTAACTGGGACTATAGGCATGTGCCATCATGCCTGGGCTACTTGTATTTTTAGCAGACATGGGGTTTCACCATGTTGGCCCGGATGGTCTTGAACATCTGACCTCAAGTGATCCACCCACCTCGACCTCCCAAAGTGCTGGATGGAATCAGTTCTCTTTAATTGCTACCCAAAACAAATACAGCAGCATCCTGAGTGCTGCCTTAGAAAACACTCAAAGCAATAGTACAGTATTCACCTTCATAGATGATGATAACAGATTGCTTCATCAAGGTATTTTATTATGCATGATAACCAGCATGAGAACATTTCTCTACTGAACTGTCTTATAAGCTAATGGAGATGGCACTGATTTTTTTCTAGATTAACCAAATGAGCCTTTACTGACTTGGGAACAACTGTCAAAAGAGAGAAAGAAGTTTTGCATCGCTCTTCTATTATCTTAAACAATTAGAATACAAAAGGAAATGTTAGACACATCTACACATCAAAAATTATTTTAAATAAATTAAATTTAGGACTGAATGCTTAGGTCAGTCCTTTTCAAGCTATAACATAATAGCTAAGAACATTCCAGAAGGAAATGCACAAGCAATAAATGTTCTCAATTTATTGTTGTAAATTATTCTTCATTTAAACCTCATTCTAAATTTATATTTATGTAATATAATGTACATTGCATTTAGTCCAATATGCTTCTTTTTTCTTTCTTTTTTTTTTTTTTTGAGACAGAGTCTTGGTCTGTCACCCAGGCTGGGGTACACCAATATGCTTCTTATAGAAATAAAAATAATTATGTCTTTGATCAAATACTTTTTGACTATCAAATGTTTTGGCCTATTTTTCAACAATTATTAGTTTCTTGTGATTTTTTTATTTATGAATTTTTTCACTAGGATATAATTGAATCAGCTTATAAATTTCATGGAGAAGTATTTTATAAAATATCCATACAATTACCACAGAAAAGTATTATTCCCAGTACCTTAACACTAATAAAAATAAAACTATAAGCCACTGTACTATACTTTTTAATTTATTAAATTAAATAAATTTATTATAAATGATTTTATGAATCTTATAAACTCTGCATTTCAAGAATTAACAGTTTTGGGAAATTGTAGGTCTTCACTGTGTATGCATTATTTATGTGCATCCCCATTTATTTACCATTATCTTGTATCATAGCAATCCCAAAGAATCAACATTGCACCCTGGTCCACACAGTAGAAAAAAAATTTGCTTGAGTCACATTGGGTATTGACAAACATCACATTTTGCTAGTAAGCAATCAACCTTCAGAAATTGTAATCAGTTGTTTAATATCCCCCTTAGCTGAAAAGTCCCTTTGACCATTCAAAGATGCCTTTCAAACATTTAAATCATATTGGTTAATCTGAGTACCAGGCACTGTCTTGAGGCCATACACTAAACAAGACACTAAATGTTCCTTTTTCAACAAGACCTAGACATTCTATTCCTAAATATCTTTAGATATAAATGTACCAACCTTATACTTTTCACTGTATCTGCCACAACTAGCATGGAGCTAGCCCCAAACAAGCACTGAATAAATGTTGTCTGGACACTCGTCTGTCTTCACAATTTGACACCATTGTGCTCGGGGAAACAACTGCTACTTAACAGTAAGTTTAGTGTTCAGCACACAGTTATATAAGATCAATAAATATTCACAATGAACTAAAAGCATGTTTTAAGAATGCATATGATTTATTTGTGTTGTTCCTTATGTTGTATTGTAATTTGTTATATTTTATACTCCAGAACAATTATCTATTAATGGAATAATATATTTACAATTTAAGAGTATCTTTAATGTGTTATTATGAAAACAAAAACAATCTGCTATCAGTTAAAATTTTCTCTAAAGTCTTAGCAAACACACTGCACATCAAATGGCAGTGACAAATAATCTCTGGGCTCTGTAAATGGAAAACACCATGGTTGAAAGTTAGCTATTTGATTTAGGATGCAACATAAAAGCCTGATGACATTTTCCCTGTTTTATACACAGACAAACTGAAGAGCAAAAGATGAATTGACTTTATCAAGAAAAATTGGCAAATAAAATGGCTCGTCACTGTGATTTATCTTGGTTCTTGTTTCTTGCTCTTAATCAGGGGCTGTTTTGGAAGCCAAGTGTTAGCTTCTTTGTGGAATGATGTGTTTCAACAACCCCAATTTCTTTTATTATGATTAGAAATACATTTTATCTCATTTTAAAATTGCTGTATGATTTTATTTGTGTGTTTACAGATAATGTATTTGACTGAGTTTATAAGTTTTGTTGTTGGACTTTTCAGATACCTATAGGTGACATGGTGCTTAGCTGAAGGCCTTGCTTCTTTTGCTTCACAGAAGGTTTATAGATATGTGACCTTACCAATTAAACGCCGATTCTCGGTTTTCAACAGAACTTCTATTGAAAGTTAAACAGAACAGTATTAAACAGAACAGTGTCTTCAGTGAAGACACTGAACATGCTCAGCTTACTGCATTGGGCTGCTGTGTGAAACAATTGAGATAATGCCCTTGAAAATATGTTTGCAAGATATGAAATTCTCTACAAAGTACAGGACCACATATAATAGAAATATTATTCTTATATGTTTATATAAGTAAGTTTGATATACATTAACTTTATCACTGGGAGTAAGTTTCTCATGCACCAGTTCTGTATTTTTTGGTCTTTGTGATTAATTTTCCTAAACTGTTAAAATAACAGTTTATTGTCCCAGCTACCCCTACGATGCTTTCTCTCTTCTTGCAGGTTTATGACTGCCCAGCTTTCATCAGAGTGTTAGGGAAACTTATTGATATATTTTTTAAATTCTTGAATTAATTTTTCCATTTTTTTCTACTTATTATAAGTTAAGTTTAAAAAAATGGCTCTCGTGAGAATCTTTGTTCATCAAAAAATGAGGAAGTGACGTATCTTATAAAATCTTATTGGGGGAATGTCATTTGTGACGTCTTTCATTTAAAGGTTTTATGTTAATTAGATACAATTGATTTGGCTTAAAATGTTAAAAGCAATATCAAAACTAATATTCTAAATAATTTAATTATGTAATATAAAAGTAGATTTCCCATAATATCCTGAGAATACAGTAGTTTAGACACTTATAATTTTATTAAATAAAAAGGCGAAGGGTAATAGAAATTCATTAAATATTATAACACGGCTTCACTTCAACTTATAATGAAGTTATTCCCCAATAAACCCATTTTAAGTTGAAAGCATCTAAGTTGAAAATGCGTTTAATACACCTAACCTACAGAACATTGTAGCTTACTCTAACTTACTGTAAAAATGCCCAGAACACTTACATTTGCCTACGTTTGGGCAAAATCATCAAACTCAAAGCCTATTTTATAATAAAGTGATGACTATTTCATGTAATTTATTAAATGCTGTACTGAAGGTGAAAAATAAAATATTTGTATAGGTATCAAAGAAAAATTTTTACTTAATGTGTTTCCCTTTTGCACTGTCATAAAGTCAAAAAATCCTAAATCCAACCATCATAGGTTGGGGACCATCTGTATTTCCTGAATCTTTAAAAAGAGCCTATTTAATATCATAAAGGCAATCCTCACAGTGTTTAACATAAGTTTATATTTTGCTAAATATATCTAAATAACTACGAAAGATTAATGAAAGGCAACTTTAAGATGGGACTATTTTTATTGATGACATTTTCAAATTAGAGATATGTATTTTTAATAAAAAATGTAAAAAGTATGATGATTACTGATGAAAAACTCATATTCCAAATAAGACTATGATAGATCAAGTAACAAAAACTACATCAACAGAGAATAACTTCAGAAAAGCCAAGCTGGAACATCAACTCTAATTTTGCTTGAGCCATGCATCATTATAAATTTCTCTGGTGACCCTGTATCTGAAACACACGAAGAAAACTTTGAAAATGTAGAGCTCCACTATCCCTGCTTCCACTCTCTCCCACCATCCCCAGTGATTCTGATGCAGTGTCATTTGAGACCTACTGATCTTGATACCAGAAAAACGCTACACTTTAGAATTACCTAATAATCTCAATAAAACATATTTGGGATGCAAATTTAAGTGCATTTATTACTTTATTCAAGGTCGTATTATCACTCATAGCTTAGCATGTCAACTTCTTTTTTGGGAATATGACTTGACACAAACTCAAAATAATCATATCTACCTAGAGAAGGTTACTTTCAAAGGACTACCATTAAGGTGGCTGGTAAAATTCAAAGTCTCCAGAGAATATGAGAAAACATTCTTTGATGAAATGTAAATTTAAAGTATCCAATTTTGTTTTCTTTTCCACAGCATGTCCAGTGAACAAATATAATAATAAATTTTTCATACTTTTTTTCTTTAAAAGCCACAGTAAGAAAAAGTAGGTATATAGACTTAAGCCTGGCAAGTGAGAAAAAGGATAATATTGAAGATCCTCAGCAAAAGTTTTCTGACTGGGGCAAGAAATTATGACAATATTAATAGTCAAATATGGAATACTATTAAAAATTCTGACACTATCCAAATAAATTTATTTTTTTACAGTGGGTTATACCAACATTGGCCCTTAGAAAATGGGCTAAATTTATATTGAGAAGCTCCTCTAGTAACATGTAAATACATCCAGCCCTCCATATCCATGGATTCCTCATCCAAAGATTCAACCAACCACTGATAAATATATATTGGAAAAAAAAACAACAGTAAAAAATAATACAAATAAAAAAATCACTATAATAAATATTTACCTAGTATTTACATTGTATTAGGTATCACCAATAAGCCAGAGATTATTTAACATGTAGGGAAGGATGTATGTGGTTTATATGCAAATACTTTGCCATTTTATATCAGTGACTTGAGCGTTGAGTATATTGGTATCTCTACAGGATCCTGGAAGCAAACCACTGTGGATTCTGAGAGCAGACTGTAGTATTTTAGACCAGTTTTTTAGTTCATTAAAGAAAAAAGAAGCAATGCTATATCTAACTAAATATCTGAATTCATACTAGATGCTTTCAGTTTATTTTAGACTTCCTCTGATTATTTGGTCTTTTGCTGTATGCGCTCATGTGTTGTGTTTTGAGGCATCATTAAAAAGATGCCACAGAAATAGAAGGAAACATCTCACCACCAAAAACAATCCTCTAACACCATCCATATGTCATAATACATTAGAAACATACCTATTGTGGCCTTTATTGTATGACTCACATAATCACTGCTAGCTCTCACCCAAATAAAGTTGCTAATGTATTAATACTATCTACTTGTTTCCAATCTCAAACTAATTACGAATTCAGACTCACAGTGTACTGTAGCAAAGCTACCAGGCCATTAGTTGATTTTAATTAAATGAAAGTCTTCCAGTGATTATGGACTAATTAATTTTTAACCCAACTGTAAATTAAAGAAGCATTGCTCACTAACGATGAACATTCCCATATTTCACCATTATATAGGTCTCTGTATATATTAGGTAGTTCATTCCTAAGGAAAGAAGAAATGAAATGCAGATGTTAGACATTATTTTGGCAAGAATTTTTTTTCTATTCTTTTCTGTTGTTATAGTTTATTCTAGTTTCGTGCCAGGGTTTGAAACTTAAGAAAATAAATGATGAGTTTATTTCTAGGGCTATATTGTGACCTATTGTGACCCTAATAACATAGCAGCCTTGTCCCTTTCCTTTTGTTTATCTCGTTTACCTTTTATTACAATTTATAAACCCCTGTCCCAATACACACTTTCAACGTGGACTCTACACTAAGTTCTTCCTTCCATTCACTTGGAACATTTATTGAATAAAATAAGCTAAATGAGAAAAGCTGCCATGAAATTAAAGCAATGCTGTCATCTCTAAAGAACGTGGCTCTTTGAGGCATTGTTCTTTACAGAAAACTTTGTATAAATGTTTAATCATACATGATGGGTCATGTACAATATCGCACAGATATTACAAGTGGAAAGACTGAAGACTATACAGAAAAAGGTAAAGACAATGAAATAAAGAACAGAAACAATACTACATCATTGGTTTTGGGTTCAAAATATGTGCTAAAAATATAAAAACATCCTCAAAATGCTAAATACAACTTTAGGATAATGGTGTCTCCTGAGGAAAATGGCCAGGAAACTGGTGAACATAGGGTATATGGGAGTAGGGTTTGGCTTTGTCTATAATTATTTTTTCTTCAAAAGAAAGGAAATCTGGAATAATGGTAATAGTACTATTTTCTGAGAAATGATACTTGGTTGTTATCTCTACAAGTTTTATAACTTTATGTAAGTTTTCAATATGTTTATATTTAACAATTAAAATAAGGATAATAAAGAATACCAAAATATTTTAAATATTTAATATCAAAGATAAAATAGAGTTGGTGAAATATCTGTGACTTGCTTATCCAGTTGTTGATAACCAAATTATCTCCCAATCAAAATTCAGGTATTTTTGGATAGAGCACATCATTAAAACAATTAGAATATCCAGGCCACATATGGATTATATTTGTTATTCAAATAATCATTAGAAGTATTAGGTTATTGATTGGATCAGTAACTTGGTCATAAACATGATAATGAGAAAATAAAAACAAATTTACTAAAATCATTTTATCACCCTAATTAGTTCAGTCTCAGGACGTCACGCTGAAATTTTTTTGCCCTTCTAATTCACCTCAACTCTAACATTAAACAGAAGCTTATGAGCCAGTGAATGGGGGAAAAAAAGGAGTTTTCCCTTCTTTTTCCAGTCACATTATTGTTCAGCAGTGTTTTAAAACCTTCCTGATGCTAGGGTTCATTTTTATGTTGGTTGTCATTCAAAAACAAGGAATGAGAATCCTTATATTTATATAAATAGAAATTTATATAAATATGCCCCCACTTGCTCCCAACACAAGACCTTGGTACTTGCTATGCTTTCTATCTGGGCTGCCATTTCTGAGGCTTTTTGCCATAAGTAGCTTCTTCTCAAGCCTGAGGCTATGTGTCCCATTCTCAGAAAGGCTTCTTGGTCAGTTTATGCAAAGTATTTTACTTTTTCTAGTCACTCTCTACTGCATTGCCCTCTTTTTTTTATTATTTTTATTTATTTATTTATTTATTTGAGACGGAGTCTCACTCTGTCGCCCAGGCTGGAGTGCAATAGCACCATCTCAGCTCACTGCAACCTCCACCTCCCGGGTTCAAGCGAGTCTCCTGCCTCAGCCTCCCGAGTAGCTGGGACTACAGGCACCTGCCACCACGCCCAGCTACTTTTTGTATTTTTAGTAGAGACGGAGTTTCACCATGTTGGCCCGGATGGTCTTTATCTCTTGACCTCATGATCTGCCCACCTCAGCCTCCAAAAGTGCTGGGATTACAGACGTGAGCCACTGCGCCCAGCCATTTTTAGAATTTTTAAAAGATTTTATTTTTTAGAGCAGTTTTAGGTTCACGGCAAAATTCAGAGAAAGGTACAGAGATTGCCCATATACCTCTTCCCTTACATATACACAGCCTCTCCCATTATTAATGTCCCTCAGCAGTGGTACAATTGTTATAACTGATAATCCTATATTGACACCGAAATGATCACGGCACCTATAATTATCACCCAAAGTCCATAGTTTAGGGTTCATTCTCAGTGTTGTACAGTCTATGGGTGTGGGCAGAGATACAATGATGTGTACTGGCCATTGTAGTATCATGCAAAGTCTTCTCACTGCCCTAGAAATTTTCTGTGCTCTACCTGTTTATCCTTTCCCACTGTTTGTTCCTCAACTAGTGGCAACTACTGATGTTTTTACTGTATCCATAGTTTTGCCTTTTCCCAAAAGCTATATAGTTGAAACACAGATTGGCTTATTTCACTTGGTAATATTCATTTGTGATTCCTTTATGTCTTTTTATGGCTTGATAATTTATTTCTTTTTAGCACTGAATAATATTCCATTGTATAGCTGTATCACTGTTTATTTATTTGTTTACTTATTGGAAGAGGTCTTGGTTGGTTCAAAAATCGGTTAAATTTTTATATTTGTGCTAATAAAGGGTTTTTTTGGTAAGATTATTGTCTGCTTTTGGTTCAGGGTAATGTTTGTGTTATTAAATGATTTGGGGTATACACATACTCTTTATTTTTAGAGGTATGTTTGTCTCCAACTGGTAACTGCAGATGGAGATTGAATGTGATTCTTAACCAGAGCGGTATTAGGGAAAATAAATTGAAAGAATGAGTGCCGAAGAAATGGGCAAACAATTAATGGGGTGCTATTGCCAAATTATTTGATGTGAAGGAGAGGGAGAAGTAAAGGATTGCACCAATGTTTTGCAGATGGGTGCCTGAGTCCTTGTTCCATCAGGAGATGCAAACAATTCAGCAGAATGAATAATTTGCAGAGAACAAATGTAAACATTAAGCAATAAGCTATAAGCTACCTTAACACTGTACTTTCATTTACTCCTAGATAAACTTCTCTAAAATTTAAAATTTAATATTGTAGAAGAGATATAACTAGAACATATAGAAACAAATAACAATTATGACTCAACAGAAAGTGATTCTTCAATTATTGGGCTAGCAGTTAATGCTAACTTCTAATAAAAACACCACTCATTGGCTAATGCAATGCTATTTTAGAAATATTTCCTACCATTTTCCTAAAATCTGAGGTGAAAAAATTTAATGAACGTATTTAGCCTGATTCTTCTAGAAGATAAATGTGTAATAATTTCTTGAGGCTATGAAAACATATCCAAAATGAAACTGAGATTTGAAATTAAGGTGCAAATCACTAACCTAACTCATCTAATGTAGCAGATAAAATTTGCCCTTTAAGAAACAATGAGAAGCTACAGATACACTGGCATTTAAGATTTGGAAAATATCTTTATGTTTTGTGCATCAGTGTATTTTTTTTCTCGGTTGCCACTGAAACAGTATTGAAGATCCTGTCAAGACTTAGCTAAAGATTTAATTTCCAAGAAATGTGATGCTATATCCTTCTTTAGGGTGTTTGAGAGTGCTAAACTCCCCCCAAACAAGGAAAAGAGATATGTTAAAATGACACAAGCTAAACACAGGGCACTCACTTCCAAAAGTGATTACATCTGCCCTTCCCATTTTCTAGTCTTCATGTCATTTAGTGCATGTTGGTACAACCACAAAGAAATGTGCACAGGCTACTGGAGTTATTTACTTATACTTCAGAATTCTTTAATTCTGAAGGGACAGCTACATGATTAAATTGAGATTTTTATTTAATTATTACAAATGTATGAATTATGATAAAATATAACATACTATTGTTTATTAATATTAAGTTAAAAATTTGAGCTATTGATAGTTATTAAACAATAGTTAAACTATAAAAGAATAAAATATCCTACTTTATTCTTGTAATATTTGTGAACAATTTGGAAAATTCAAGCATTGTAAACTGATTTTGTAAATTGCATACTTGTGCCATAAATTTCTTTGAAATATGTTTCCCTTCTAAACAGTAACCTTTTGACATACCAAGTGCTATCTTGTAAAACACACTTCTAAACAGCTCAGATCTACATTTCTACCCTCTCTTAGAGTTTAGATGAATTTTCCTTTATTGTAAGCTAAAGAGAAGCCATTGTGTAACTTGGAGACCTACACCTTTGGTGAGAGTTTTCTTACAAAATAAATTACCACCTAATATATATCTCGTTATTACTAACATTGGGATTTTTAACAAAACTAACACAGGATACTTAATTTGGAAAATACCAGGTTAAAATTCTCACAACTGTTTCTCCATCATTCTTTTGCCTCAACAAGTACTATATTCCATCTTAGATCCCATTATGAAGTGGAGGAATTAGCAGCAAAAAGATTCTCAAGGAAAACTACACAGTAACTAAAAATTGAGTTGAGATGTAAATATCAGGAACCATCTGCAGGAAAAGGAAACCTTCTCTGCCACATTAAATGATCCACTCCAAGAATTTCTCTTCTTGTGTTTCTTTTGCCCAACTAAAAGAGGATTATTCCACTCTACCAGGTATCTGGGATTAAAGTTTCTTGATAAATTCAGTTCCATTGAGGGTACCATGGGAGGTAACTGCATGAAACTTTAATGAGATTGAAGATTAAAAATTCACACCTTTGAGATACTCCTTGTGACTGTGTTTTCATTGTAGTAACAACTGAAATGGACTTCACAAGAACACAGAGGTCTGAGAAACGTTCAGAAGAGGGGAGGTGATGCTATAAATCTGGAGAAGTGATATTTTAAAACAAATCAATCATATTTAACAAAAAAGAAATATCCCCTGCAAGTTCTATCCTAAAGGTGGAGTGCACGTGCAATGAACAGTTCACAGCAGCTTTGGAAATATCTGTCACTCCAGATAATTTTTAGAATATTTTTAGAATATTCTAAAAATATTCAAAATATTTTTAGAATAGCAAATGGTATCATTTCCTATGGTAAACTGGAACTTTGACAAATTAATCTATGATTATTAAAATTAATTTTACTTAGTATTTTTACAGAAATACATATTCCCATGAAAAATTGGAGAAAGGATTGAATGTATTTTCATATATACGTATATTGTTATGGTTGAAAACACATTAGAGATCATTTAGTTGCTTGTTTTACAGATGATGAATCAGGAAATGATGTTTACATTTTGTTAATATGAGGATAACAGAAATAGGGTCATTAGCTCTTAAACATATTTCTTAGTGTTTTTCTCATTATTGAGACTATTAGAAAACATGTACATAAAAAAAACTTTAGAATCAGTAGTTGTCAACTTCAGAACAGTTCTTTAAAAATCTATCCCCACATCAAATTTACACTCACAGTCATCTAAAACTTGAGGAAACTAAGATGAGAGTATCATTTTCAAATTTTGCTAATTGCAAAACCTAATTTGTGATCTGATCTGTTATTTCTTATTTTTTTCTCTGAAAGTAATTCTCCCTCTCTCTCTCTTTTGTTTCATTGCTCTTTTCTTTTTCCATTGTGGGGGTTAGTGGGTGGAGCTGCAGTACCTTACCTTACTATGCCTACCAATAAAGTTCTCAAATGAATTTTATTTTGCAGTTACTGCCCCTTGAGTGCATTCAAGTCCAGTAGAATGTTTCACTGCATTTTGAACCAGAATTTTTTTCTGTTGAATAAGGGAAATTTGGTTATGTTGGTACTGGGCCAGTGAAATTGTGCTTAGTAATGGGATGTTTACTTAATATTCCTTGACAAAACATAAGATTGCGATATGTTTCATATATTTTATATTCTGCAGAGGTATATCCAGAATAGAGAGAGGCCGGTACATCAAAGCATAAGCTACTTATATTTGAGACAGTACTACTGGCATTGTGTCTCAGTAAATATCCTTCTAATACACAGTATTTATTGCAAATAGATTAAAAGGAAGAAAAAAATGAAGGGCAACAAGGAAAATAAGAAAATTTTAAAAAGATGACTAAAAAGGAAAATACTGTGAGAAAGAAATAATAGTATAGATAAACTCAGTTATTTCAATACTTTCAGGATTATTGATATGCCTATGGAATTTCTGAGATTTGGTGGATGTCTGGGAAGTCCTACCATTTATATTGCAGAGCTATTACCTCCTGTAAAACCAATTAATTTATCTTAGTTTGAAAATCCTTTTGAAGGTCCTAGTTTTTGAAATGACCATTGATGTTGGGCTGAATTTTTCTTTACGTAATCAGAAATTGTCTTACACATAAACCTTTCCACAAATACTACAGCATTTTTTAAATTGTAGCAATTTGTATTAAGACAGCTTATGATAACTGGCTATAAGTTTATTAGGCTCTCTTTTTCAGTAGTGGATAAAGTATAATAATGATAATAATAGTGACAATTATACACATATAGACAGATATACTGCTGGAAATATGGCTCATTCATTTTGAATGCCTGTTACCGTAATATCTAAGTTCTTCTGTGTGTATGATTATCATATGCCTTGTCTCTTGCATTTAATTTTGAGTGCTTTCATTTTTTATTGTTTAACAGTTCGGGATGGCACTTATACACAATATAGTTTTTAAACTGATTTAGCTCACTATTGACTACTTGAAAATAATGTGTATAGATTTGCAAATTACTGTTTTGGACTTCTGGTATAAAATAGCTAAATAAAATGTCTAAATACCCTTGTAAAGTCAAGGAAGGAAGTAACATTCCAAATTAACAGATCAAAAATATATCTGCCTTTAAAATAGATTTTCAATGACCAGAGAGACCTGCAGAATAAGTACCAATGAACATGCAAATCCTTTCATTTCTCTTTGGACAGTACATGATCATTACATGCGTGTTTTCAAAATGAAGTAGAAATATGAATGACCTTACAATCAGAATCTCACCACCACATAAGAATGCTTAAGTACTTTTAATACAATAGTTTGGGGTTTTTTTTTTTGCATCATTAAGGTTGTTAATTTCCTATAGATTTTATGTACAATTTCTACAGTCAAGTATTCTGAAGGCTAGAGTTCTTTGGGCATTAAAATGGCAAAGCCACAGTTATTATCCATGTAAATCCCTTAGAAAATGTATTACTTTAATATATATTAACTGTATTAGTCGTTTAACTTGGGATAAAAGAATTAAATACCTATATTATTGTCTATGATAGATTCAGTATCTGAAACCTATGCAGATTCAGTTTCTCTGTGATGAGAAATTAGATGGAAAATACACTGAAGAAAAATAAATCATTTGTAACATCCACAGAGAGTGCATAACCACTGACTTTGCACCTCTTTAGGCCCGTCTGGATTGTGACTTCGGATGTATGTGGGTCAAACCAAGAAGACTTATATGTAACAGATTTCCCAATAACTCTTTGGGTCCTTGGACATCACTGAATGGAAGTAATCTTAAATCCTGAAGAGTTGGCTGGACGCAGTGGATCACACCTGTAATCCCAGCACTCTGGTAGTCTGAGGCGGGTGGATCACGAGGTCAGGAGATCGAGACCGTCCTGGCCAACATGGTGAAACCCCGTCTCTACTAAAAATACAAAAATAAGCTGGGCATTATGCTGTGTGGCTGTAGCCCCAGCTACTTGGGAGGCTGAGACAGGATAATAGCTCAAACCGAGGAGATGAAACTTGCAGTGAGCCGAGATTGCGCCACTGCACTCCAGCCTGCTGATAGAGATAGACTCTGCCTCAAAACAAACAAACAAACAAACAAAAAAACCTGAAGAGTTGTTCAGCTCTGTGTTGACAGAATATGGCCATGAGATAGGACCTAAGCATTTTACGTCAAAAAAGAAAATTAAAAAGTAAAAGAACACTAGAACATAGTTTTCAAAATTTATTTTTCATGCGAGGAGAAGGCTAAGTGTTTGTATAAGATTCAAGGTGGGACAGTAAAAATAGAGCTCAGTCCTGTTTCTGCATACAAGGTCTGTGCATTTTCTAATGCAAAATTCCCCTGTGTTGATGATAATTTAGGTTGTGATTACAGTGGGAAAAACTACTTTTCATTTTATAGTAAAATTTTGACCTTATAAACATGCCATGTTCACAGATAAAAATAATTGAGTATTTCAAAAAAAATCTGAAACTTCTTTCTTCTTCTATTCTTTATGTGGAATTAAAAAACAATCTAGGGAATTCAGGAGCAGGATGAGGTATGCCAAATTAGCTATTGAGTAAAATGGATACTATCTGTGTGATAGTTAAAATAAAAGCCCAGACTTGACCACTGGGCAATATATCTATGTAACTTCACTTGTACCCCTTAAATCTATAAAAATAAATAAAAATATCTAAAACTTTAGTCTTATTAAAAGCTCAAAACATGAACAAAATTTATTTTTCCATGTTGTTTTATATGTGTTATACAATGTACATTTATTACATATTGCTAATAACACATATCAGGTATATAGTGTTATATAATATGTACATTTTAACTTGTGCATCAGAATTTGTGTTAAAGGAGTCTCATTTTGGGTGTGTTTGGGGTGGGGGTGGAATATTTAGATTTTTCAGATGATTGACCTTGAATACTAAAAGTAACTACATTAGATTGTCTTTGTCTATTTGTTTTTATCTTCATGAATTGAGATGGCAATAAAATGTAATACAAAAATCAATGTAAACCTTGTAATGAAATGGCAAGCTTGGTTATTCTTTTAATCATGTCTTTTAAAATAAAAGACATCAGTAGGCATTAAAATAAATGAATGTCTTTGAATAGATTCCCAAAAAAAAAAAGGCAGACCATATTGTGAAAGCAAGAATAACTAAATATTGTATATTGTGATTAAAGATAGTAAATTTATAAAAACATTGTACATATGTTGGGTTTTCTCAACTACGGGCATGAGTATTTGATATCCCAACATATTTTTACACACCTGACAAGTTCGCATTTCTGTCTTTGTTCTACCTTCTGAAAAAGGTAAATATTTTAGGAGAATTTTAGAAATATTTACAGATTAAAATGTAGGATAAAAGTACTAAGGCTTTATCAACCTTTTGATATAAATTTATTTCATAATTGTCACTTTATTTTATGAACAATATAAAGAGATTTTTGAAACTAATAAATATATGGATTGCCAGTTTTTCAACATGGTTCCATTTATCAGCAAAAAGTGACTTATGCATCATTGTAAAAATCAATTCCTCTGGTTAGCAAGATCTGCCAAATACAACAAATTCCAGTTGGTTGAATTGTGTTGTCTTTACCACTGAGAAAATTGGGACCATCTTCTTGTGCCCTTGAAACTGATGTTGACATTCATCTCTCTTGTAACCCCTACTCCAAGAAAATTGGGTTACAGGACTTTATGAAAGAGAAAAGCATGCATCTGCTGTTTCAAACTGCATCCCTGAGAAGATGAGATTTCAAAATTTCTCTGTAAAACAGAGGTAAAAGACTCCTTTACAAAGCAATTCTTGAGTTTAAGGTTTGTTTTACACTTTTATAAACCTTGGCGTATTGTACTTGTCAGAAAAACTTCATAACCTAACAATAACCTTTTGCTATCCTTTATGTAGTGTTGACCAGACAAATTGTCGTGCTATTCAGCTGAACAAGATTGATGACACAGCAAACTGCAAATGCAGAGCTTAGGAGAATATACCCCTTCAGTGAACTTCAGGGCACTCCACATCACTTCCCTAGGCTGGGATGGCAGTATTCCCTTAAGGATTTTGATTTACAGGCTGTGAAATGCCAAAAATACAACTCCAGACATGAAAGAGTACATTGAAAACAATGGAATGATAAACCTTTTTTCCCAAAAATAGGAGATGTGGCTATTTGCTGTTGGAAAAGAAGAATTGTTTTTAAAACTTCAGAAGAAAAAATAAGCAACATGGCTGTCTTTTCAATATACAAAATTAAAAATCATGTTTACTAAAGCTCTGCTTAAATTAAAAAAGTACTATGTATTTTTACATTTGTTTAGTACTGTTACATCTTACCACACTTACCATGATTTTAGTTACTTGTTTTAATAAATAGATTTCAAATGCTTGGAAATTTTGTATAAAACAAAACAAAAACTTTCACTACAATGTTATGTCTTAGGATTGCATAATCCTGAGGGTTTTAAAAATTGTAATAAATTAAATTAAATTAAATTTATTTTTCAATGAAATGTCAACTTCTCCAAGAGTCTAAAACAGCATGCTCATTAAATTGAAGTTTCATTCTCTATCATTCAGACTGCCTGTGCATGGAGAAAATATGGTATTTTATATGATTGTGTATAGTTTTCTATTTGAGGCATAATACTTAAAAGTCAACAAGAAGGCAACAGTCAGATTTACCTGCATCTTTAAAACAGTAATGTCATAATGCTTCATACTGTGTAAGATGTTCACTTATGGCCGGGTGTGGTGGCTTACGCCTGTAATCCCAGCACTTTGGGAGGCCGAGGCAGGCAGATTGCCTGAGGTCAGGAGTTAGAGACCAGTTGGCCAACATGGTGAAACCCTGTCTCTACTAAAAATACAAAAAAATTAGCTGGGTGTGGTGGCGTGTGCCTGTAGTCCCAGCTACTTGGGAGGCTTAGGCAGGGGAATTGCTTGAACCAGGGTGGTAAAGGTTGCAGTAAGCCGAGATCACGCCATTGCACTCCAGCCTGGGTGACAGAATGAGACTCTGTCTCAAAACAAAAAACAAAAAACAAAAAACAAAAACAGATGTTCACATATGAAGAACTTAAGGGAAAACAGATTATCAGTAAAGAAGAAACCAATAGATTAGAGAAAACTTAAGTCTGACATTTTGTTTTTTTTGGTATAATTTTATTTATTTATTTATTGAGACAGAGTCTCACCCTGTCACCCAGGCTGGAGTGCGGTGGCTCACCATCTTGGCTCACTGCAATCCCCGCCTCCTGGGTTCAAGCGATTTTCCTGCCTCAGCCTCTCAAGTAGCTGGGACTACAGGCTCCTGCCACCACGCCCAGCTAATATATTTTTTTTGTGTGTGTGTTTTTAGCAGAGACAGGGTCTCGCCACGTTGGCCAGGCTGGTCTTGAACTCCTGATCTGAGGTGATCCACCCGCCTCGGCCTCCCAAAGTGCTGGGATTACAGGCGTAAGCCACTGTGCCCGGCCCCTTTTAGTATAATTTTATTTTTAGTTGTCAAATAATAATTTTATATATTATGAGGTACAATGTGATGTTTTGAAATATGTATACATTGCAGAATGACCAAATCAGGTAAGTAGTATAGTATATCCATCTCTTCAAATATTTATGAGCTCTTTGTAATGATGATATTTAAAATCCCTATTTTGAATGTACAATCCACTATCATTAACTATAGTCACCACGCCATGCAATAGAACACCAGAACTTATTCCTCCAATCTTACTGTATCACTGCACCCACTGACCAATATTTCCCCTTTTACCATCCAACCCCACACTGCAGCCCCTGGTAACCACCATTCTACTCAATACTTCCATGAGTTTGACGTCTTTAGATTCCAGATATAAATGAGACCATATGATATTTGTCTCTGTCTCTGGCTTATCTCACTTTACCTATGTCTTCTAGGTTCATCCATGTTGTCACAAATGACAATATGTTCTGTTTTTCTAAAGCTGAATTTTATTGCATTATGTATATATAGCACATTTTTAAAAATCTACATATTGATGGATACTTGGGTTGTTTTCATATGTTGACTATTTTGAATAGTGCTGCAGTAAACATGAGAATGCAGACACTTCCTTGGCATACTGATTGCAATTCCCCTGGGCATATATTCAGTATAGGGTTGCTGGATCATATTGTAATTCTATTATTAGTTTTTTGAGAAACTTCATACGGTACTAATTTACAATACTACCTTTTCTCCACATCATCACCAACACTTTTGTAAGGTTCTTGACCAACAAGTGGTCAAGAGTACTATCTCAGTCAGTTTGGACTGCTATAATAAGTTACCAAAAGATTGGGTGGCTTAAACAATAAGCATTGATTTCTCATAGTTCCAGAGCTGGGAAGTCCAAGATTAAGGTGCCAGCAGATCTCGTGTCTGATGAGGCCATAGTTTCTGGTTTGCAAACAGCCATCTTCCCCTTGTATTTTGACAAAGCTGAGAGGGCAGCAGAGAAAGAAAGAAAGTTCTCTTGTCTCTCCCTATAAGTCACCAATCCCATGATGAGGGCTCTAGTCTCATGAACTCATCACATTTCAAAGAACTCACCTCCAAATAACATCACATTGGCAATTTAGGCTTCAATATGAATTTTGGGGGAACGCAAATATTCAGTTCATAGCAAGTATATACTAAATATATATGCACACTATATTTATGTATGCTATCTTATTATAGATCATACAAAACCTTCAACTGTCCTCTATATTGTGGTCTTTATTCCTTTTCTTTATACATAATGACTATTACTTGGCCTTTAGTCCACTTATTATCCTTTTTTTATTACATTGGCCTTCCTTGAAATAGCAAAGTTTAAAGTATATTTAACATCTTTTTTTGTTGCACCCAAAGCACCATTTGCTTAACTGCAAAGTAATATAATTTAGTAATAGTGTGCAAATTATATTATGATAATTCATTAGGAATAGAATACTAATAGCCTTGGATGATATACAAGTATAGTCAACTGAGTCGCATGGCTAGAGTACCAACATAGATGGATATGTGAAGGAACAGCTTACAGATCACAAGAGTGTAGTGATCCCACAATAATCCCACCTAACTCAGGTTATTAATACAGTGTTAATTAAAATACTTGAATGTAATAAAGAGCAGAATTGCCTGAAATGATTACATATTTATTTTTTGATGAAAATTATCAGTATATTCAGTGTATCTGAGATTTATCTTTGAAAGTAGTAAAACAAACTATAATTGTCCATTTTATAGAAAGAAAAAAGAAAAATGATTAGGAAGAAGGGGAGAGAGGAGGAGGGGGAAATAATGTAAATGAAGAATTAAAGAATGAAGAAAAATAGTTACTAGTTGTATATAAATGAATGCTATGCAAAGGCACAGAACATCTTTTATAATTAATACCCTGAGTTGTGAAATCTTTTCAAGATCAGAGCAGGTAAATATAACTCTTTCTACTCTTTCCTAAGCCTCAGCAGTGTTCATTCCCTCTAATATTGCATTAGTTACACAGTATTTGAAATATTTCATTATATATCACTCCCTCATGCTAGAATAAGATTTTTAAAAAAGATTTTTTATTTAATTACTATCACCAAGTACTATGGCTGTTTTAAAATAGGTAGTATTTACTCAGGAAATGATTAAACAATTAAGAGATTAAATATGTTTTCTATTTGACTGATTAGCATAGGATAATGATTTGTATCTTTTCCTATTTTGGTAACTTCATTTTATTATGGTTTATAATTCAAAGTAAGGTCAGTGTTTTCCAAAACATTTAATACCCTTAAAGTTTTATATTTGGAAATGTTTATTTACAAAAATATGATACCTCAAGTCTGAATCAGTCAGACTTCACTTATTCTAGTTAGTTAGATAACATGACTCAAAAAGCATGTTGGCTCATACACTGCTACTAGGAGACTAAACTAGTTCAGCCATGTTAGAGAGAGGTTTGGTTTAAAATGATTTTGCCATTCAACCCAGCAATCCCTTTACTGAATAATTACTGAAAGAAATATAAACCATTCTACCATAAAGATACATGCATAAATACATTCACCATAGCATTATTCACAATAGCAAAGACATGGGATCTACCTAGGTGTCCCTTAACAGTAGACTGAATAAAGAAAATATGGTGCATATATACCACAGAATACCATGAAGACACAAAAAGAATATTATGTCTTTTGCAAAAACATTGATGGAACTAGAGGCTATTATGCTAACGATACTAACACACGAATAGAAAACCAAATACCACATGTTCTCACTTACAAGTGGGAGCTAAACATTGAGTACATATGGACACAGAGAAGGAAACAACAGACACTGGGGCCTACTCGAGGGTGGAGAGTGGGAGGAAAGTGAGGAACAAACAACCACCTATTGGGTACTGTGCTGATTACCTGGTGATGAAAGAATTTACACCAAACCAAGTGACACACAATTTATCCATATTACAAACCTGAACATGTACCCCTGAACCTAAAATAAGAGTTGAAAAACAAAACAAAAAACATTTTAGGAAACATAATATTAGTCTAAATCACTTGGTGATCTATATATATGCAGTATGTTTTGCCAAGACTAAGGAACATCAGTAATTCATGTTACACTGTGTGCATATACACACAGACATAAACTACAATAATTTGGAAAATAGTTTTCTCCAACCGATGCATTCAAAAAAAAAAAGCAAACCTGTGATATTAATCCTCAGTTTAAGGTACGCTTTTTCCTATTGTCAAATCACTAAATAATCCTCCATTATTTATATAAGACAATATTATTTGAAGAAGGCATTAAAATATATTTTTGGAAGTAATGCTTCACAGCAAGAGTTTAAGAAGAGAACCGCAAGTAGTATTAGCTTGGTGCAAAAGTAATTGTGATTTTTGCACTAAAAGTAATGGTGAAATGTAATTAAAATGAAATTAAAAGTAATAATAGAAATGACAATTGCTTTTGCATCAACTCAGTAGTTTCTAATGTACTATTTTTTTCTAGTTATTAAGCCTAGTGGTCTATGTAACTATTTTTTGCAAATTGCAAAACCCTATGCTATCAAATATACTTTGGGGCCATTTCAGTTCTTCATTTTTGGTCCTTTGATTTAGTTATGTTTCCTTCCTATTATGAGTTGAGTTGTGTCCCTCAAGAAAGATATATTGAAGTCTAATTCCCAATAGCTCAGAAGGTGATCTCCTTTGGAAATGGGGTATTTACAAAGATAATGAAGTTAAAATGAGGACATTATTGTTGGACCTAAACCAATATATCTGGATTCCTTATACAAAGAGGAGATTTGAACAAAAAGACAAACATATGCGGAGAAAGACAGTGTGAAAGCACATGGAGAATGTTATCTGCCAGTCAAGAAATGCTTGTGGCCACCAGAAGTTAGACAAGAGGCATGGAACAGATTCCTCCCCACAGCTCTCAGAGGAATCAACCCTGCCAGCACTTTGATTTTGGACTTGTACCCTTTGGAACTGTGAGGCAGTAAATATTCGTGATCCAAATTTTAACCACTTGAATTTGCTAATTTGTTATGGCAGTCTTGGAAACTAACACGCTCCACATACCCTTTCCCAAGATGTGGAAAATATGTTACATTGCATTTCCAACAGGTGGGGTACAATGATAAAACAATTAATGAACTAAGAAAGGGTCATAGCACACAGTACTGAAAGAATTGAGGATGAGTGATAAATGGGCACTTAGAGATAGCTTCAACTAGAAGTTGTTGAGTTTCTGGTTGGGGTTTAAAAGAAAGGGCAGATTTGCTGAGAATGAAAAGGAATAATTAATATGAAAGTCAAGTGAACTTAACTTGCAAAGTAAGACTCTTATAGGTCATGAAGACAGGCATATCTTCTTTTATTATGCTTTGCTTTGTTGCCCTTCACAGATGCTGTGGTTTTTTTGTTGTTGTTTTGTTTCATTTTGTTTATTTTTTTTAACAAATTGCAGAGTTGTGGCAACCTGCATTGAGAGCAAGTCTATCAGCATCATTTTTCAGTAGCATGTGCTCATATAATATGGAGAACTTAATGAATGAATACTGTGTGTATTCCAACTGCTCCACAGACTGGGCATTCCCCCATCTGTCCTTCCTTCTCCTCAGGCCCCCTATTCACTGACATGCCACAATATTAAAATTAGTCTGTTTTCACACTGCTGATAAAGACATGCCTGTGACTGGGCAATTTACAAAAGAAAGAGGGTTAATTGGACTTATAGTTCTGCCTGTCTGGGAAGCCTGACAATCATGGTGGAAGGCAAGGAAGAGCAAGTCACGTCTTACATGGATGGCAGCAGGCAAAGAGAGATTGCTTGTGCAGGGGAACTCCTATTTTTAAAACCATCAGATCTTATGAGACTTATTCACTATCACGAGAACAGCATGGGAAAGACTTGCCCCCATGATTCAATTACCTCCCACTGGGTCCCTCCCACAACATTTAGGAATTCAAGATGAGATTTGGGTGGGGACACAGCCAAACCACATCATTCCGCACCTGGTCCCTCCCATATCTCATATCCTCACATTTCAAAACCAGTTATGCCTTCCAGACGGTTCCCCAAAATCTTAACACATTTCAGCATCAACTCAAAAGTCCACAGTCCAAAGTTCCATTGGAGACAAGGCAAGTCCCTTCCACCTATGAGCCTGTTATATCAAAAGCAGTTTAGTTACTTCCTAGATACAGTTGGGGTCCAGGACTTGGGTAAATACAGCCTTTACAAGTGGGAGACATTGGCCAAAACAAAGGGGCTACAGGTCCCATGCAAGTCTGAAATCCAGCAGGGCTGTCAAATCTTAAAGCTCCAAAATGATCTCCTTTGACTCCATGCCTCACATCCAGGTCATGCTGATGCAAGAGATGGGTTCCTATGGCCTTGGGCAGCTCCACCCCTGTGGTTTTGCAGGGTACAGCCTCTCTCCTGGCTGCTTTCATGGGCTGGTCTTGAGTGTCTGCAGCTTTTCCAGGCATACAGTGCAAGCTGTCAGTGGATATACCATTCTGGGGTCTGGAGGAGAGTGACCCTCTTCTCATAGCTCAACTAAGCAATGACCCAGTAGGAACTCTGTGTGGGGACTCTGACCCCACATTTCCCTTCTGCACTGCCCTAGTGGAGGTTCTCCATGAGAGCCCTGTCCCTGTAGCAAACTTGTGCCTGGACATTCAGGCATTTTCATACATCTTCTGAAATCTAGGCAGAGGTTCCCAAACCTCAATTCTTGACTTCTGTGTACTCACAGATTCAACACCATGCTGGAACCGCCAAGCTTGAGGCTTGCATTCTCTGAAGCCATGGCCCAAGCTCTATGTTGGCCCCTTTCAGCCATGGCTGACTGAGTGGCTGGGATGCAGGATACCAAGTCCCTAGGCTGCACACAGCACAGGGATGCTAGGCCCAGGAAACCACTTTTTCCTCCTAGGCCTCCAGGCTTGTGATGGGAGGGGCTGCCTTGAAGACCTCTGACATGCCCTGGAGACATTTTCCACATTGTCTTGGGGATTAATGTTTGTCTCCTCATTACCTATGCAAATTTCTGCAGCTGGCTTGAGTTTCTCCTCAGAAATGGGATTTTGTTTTCTATTGCATTGTCAGGCTGCAAATTTTCCAAACTTTTATGCTCTGCTTCCCTTATAAAACTGAATGCTGTTAACAGCACCCAAGTAAACTTTTGGGTTACTTGCTTTGCTGCTTAGAAATTTCTTCTGCCAGATACCCTAAATCATCTCTCTCAAGTTCAAAGTTCCACAAATATCTAGAGAAGGGGCAAAATGCTGCCAGTCTTTTTGCTAAAACATCTCAAGAGTCACCTTTGCTCCAGTTCCCACCAAGTCCCTCATCTCCATCTGAGACCACCTCAGCCTGGACCTTATTGTTCATATCACTATCAGCATTTTGGTCAAAGCCATTCAACAAATCCCTAGGAAATTCCAAAATTTCCCATGCTTTCCTGTCTTCTACTGAGCCCTCCAAATTGTTCCAACATCTGCCTGTTACCCAGTTGCAAAGTCACTTCCACATTTTTGGGTATCTTTTCAGCAATGCCCCGCTCTACTGGTACCGACTTACTGTATTAGTCTGTTTTCATGCTTCTAATAAAGATATACCTGGGACTAGACAATTTACAAAAGAAAGAGGTTTAATTGGACTTATAGTTCCACATGGCTGGGGAAGCCTCACAATCATGGAAAAAGTCAAGGAAGAGCAAGTCTTGTCTTACACAGATGCCAGCAGGCAAGAGAACTCCTCTTTTTAAAACCATCAAATCTCATGAGACTTATTCACTATCATGAGAACAGCATGAGAAAGACTTGCCCCCATGATTCAATTACCTCCCCAGGTCCCTCCCACAACACATGGGTATTCAAGATGAGATTTGGGTGGAGACACAGCCAAACCATACTAATTAGTAATCCTAAAACAGCCTCTTAGCATTCAAATAAAAAGAAGAGTTGCACATCCCTCACTTTCAACCAAAAGCTAGAAATGACACATTTATTAAGGAAAACATGTCAAAAGCTGAGAAAAGCTAAAAGGTAGGCTTCTTGCGCAAAACAGTGAGCCAAGATGTAAATACAAAGGAAAGGGCCTTGAAGGAAATTAAAAGCGCTACTCCATTGAACACATAAATGATAAGAAAGTGAACCAGCCTTATTGCTGATATGGTGAATGTTTTATTGGTCTTGATAGATGATCAAACTAGCCACATTACCTTAAGACAAAGCCTAATCCAGTGCAAGACCCTAACTCTCTGAAATGTTATGAAGGCTGAAAGAGGTGAGAAAGCTGCAAGGAAAATTTGAAGTTAGAAATCATTGGTTCATGAAGTTTAAGAAAGAAGCCATCTCCATAACATAAAATTATGAGCAAAGTGAGCTAGCAAGTGCTGATGCAGAAGCTACACCGATTTATCTGGAAGGTCTAGCTGAGATCATTGATAAATGTAGCTACACTAAACAACAGATTTTTGATGGAGATAAAACAGTCTTCCATTGGAAGAAGATTCTATCTAGGAGTTTCATAGCTAGAGAAAAGTCAACACCTGGCTTCAAAGCTTCAAAGTACAGGTTGACTCTCTTGTTTTAGGGGCTAATACATCTTGTGACTTTAAGTTAAAGCCATTGCTCATTTACCACTCCAAAAAAATCCCAGGATCTGTAAGAATTATGCTAAATCTACTCTGTACTCTATAAATAAAACAACAGAGCTGGGATGACAGCAGGTCTGTTTACAGCATGATTTACTGAATAGTTTAAGCCCACTGTTGAGACCTACTGCTCAGAAAAGAAAGACTCTTTCTAAATACTAATGCTCATTGATAAGGTACCTGGTCACCCAAGAGCTTTAATGGAGATGTGTAAGAAGATGAATATAGTTTTTATGCCTGCTAACACAACATCCATTCTGCAGCTCATGGGTCAAGAAGTAATTTTTTGATAGTTCAGTCTTACTAAGAAATGCATTCCTTAATGCTATAGCTGCCATAAATACTGATTTGTCTGATGGATCTGAGCAAAAGAAATCTATAAACTTCTGGAAATGATTTACTTTTCTAGATGCCATTAAAATATTCATAATTAATAGACATCAAAATATTAACATTAATAGTTGTTTAAAAGAAATTGATTCCAATGCTCATGGATGACTTTTACACCAGTGGAGGAAGTAACTCAAGATATGTTGGAAATAGGAAGAGGGCTAGTATTAGAAGTGAGGCCTGTAAATGTGACTGAAATGCTGCAATCTCATGACAAAGGTTGAATGGGTTAGGAGTTGCATAACATGGAAAAACAAAGAAATTGGTTTCTTGAAATGGAATCTACTCTTTGTGAAGATGATGTGAACATTGTTTAAATATTAAAAAAAAGACTTACCATATTATATAAACTTAGTTGCTAAAGCAGTGGCAAGGCTTGAGATAATTGACTCCAATTTAGAAAGAAGTTTCACTGTGGGTAAAATGTCATTAAACAGTATTCCACGTGACAGAGAAATTTTTGTGGGGAAAAAAAAAAAACAAAGTCAGCAAATGTCATTGTTGTCTATTTTAAAATTGTCACAGTGACCTTAACCTTCAGCAAACACCATCCTTATCAGTCAGCAGCCATTAGCAACAAGGCAAGGCTCCCCATCAGGAAAAAAGATTACAACTGGCTAAAGGCTCAGATGAATGTTAGTATATTTAGCAATAAAGTATTTTTGAACAAAAGCATGTACGTTTTTTAAATATGATGCTATTTTGCACTTAATACATTACAGTGTAGTATAAACATACTTTTATATATCTTGGTAAGACAAATAATTTTTGTGGCTTGCTTGTTTGTGATGTTCTCTTTGTTGCAGTGGTCTGGAACAAAACCAACAGTATCTCTGAGATATGTCTGTAACTTAGAATAAAAAACAAACTCCTGTAACAAGATGGTGATTCTCTTCTCTAAAGTTCATAGAATCAAGGTGTCTAAAACATGATTATGATGCAGAAAGATATATGTATATAATCTGCCACAATAACCCAGTGAATTCTGCATTTGGAAAAGAAACGTATCACTAGATTGTTCTAACAATGTATGGGCAAGGAAAGAAATGCTACAATTAAAAGACAATTGAAGGTTTGCAAATAACAACCCAGAAATTAGATGGAAAATACAGTTCAAGGGATAGTGAATAAATTCCACCACCATTGCTATTCCCATATCCTAGCAAAATACTGTGTGTTGAACTCTTATTTTATGCCAGCCACTATACTTGGTATTTTACAAATGTGGTTTCACTTAAAACTATTCTCTAACATGCGTATGCACTTTCAGTGAATATTTGACTTCCTAGTATCCATTTGGAGAACTGACAAAGGGATTGGCCTTGTTGATCCAATGGTATTCTAGTAATAAGTTTCGGAATGGTCATATGATTAAATTCTGGCCAGTAATCTCTCAGGACAGTTTTGCTAGCAATTTATTGGAAAATACTTCTCATTTTTGGAGAAAACTAAAAGGAATACAGAATATTTCTTTTCTCCTGGATGACTAAGGAAGCATGTGGTCCTGGAGATTTCTGGCAGGCAACTTCTGTCCATGAGGGAAGCCAGCCTGTGTGGACATGGCCAGCATATGGCAGACTGTGCAGACAGGACAAGAGGAAAAAATCAGGGCCAGAATGCAGATCGACTCTGGCCAGGAGTGGAAGCATTTCTGGACTCCCTCTTCTGTAAATTAATCAAGTTTTATATTATTTAAGCCTTTTTTTCAACTTGGCCTCTTCTCTATATTTTGTAGCTGAAAGCATGCTAACAAATAGAATTACTCTAATTTTATACATGAACAAGGAACATTCAAGAGGTGAATTAAATTGCCTGTGATCACAATACCAGTAGCTTGTCTATTGTCTTTAATTTTGTTCTGATGTGACTCACTACCCTTCATTCTCTTTCAGAACGATGGAAAGGGAGTCTTTAATTCAACACTGAGAAGTCTAGTTTTATTAAAATTTGGGACCCCTCCTGGTTTTTTAATATAACAGTATTTCCAAAAAACGGTATGTATTGCTGTTTTTTCTGGTAGCTTTTAAAATAGGAATATGAGAGAGATAGACTAGTGAATATTTTTGAATAGAATCCTTTAAAAAGATCTTCTGAAAAAATAATAAGTCCCAATCTCTTATACTTATTTTTAGTCATAAATTTTGCAGCCATGTTTATGAAAATATTATACTTAATTACAAATATATCAGGTAAAACAAACTCAACAATAGATTTTTTTGTTTCATTGTTTCTTTATTTTTTTATCCTATTGAATACAACATGGTACCCTGGTAAAATAAAAATCTGAATGGTCTTTGTAGACTTTCCCGTATCTTTTTGTCTTGTTTGTTAAACTATGTGTATATCAAGTGATTAAACTGCAAAATTTTGTAATCATGTTTGGAAAAACTGGAAGATCACCTCATATATTTTCTACCCAGTTTGGTTCCTATTCTAATGGTTGAAATATATCTGTTTAAATATATTTTGTTTTAGAAAATCAATAAATAAATTTAGTGCACTTTGCAATTGTTGCATTTTGACTTAGATAGATTATGACAATATTTTGGATGAATACTATTTACATTAAAATATGTTAAAAATGAAAACCCCAGATTTTCACTTCAGTGTGGTTCTTATTTTGAAAGTTATCAAGATTTTGGCAAAAGCTGTGTAAAGAAGTACCATTTTGTCTGGCATTATATTTTATGATGGCAATTTTATTGTTAAAATACTTCCCTAGAGCATAAAGTGGCCAAATATTCTTACTTGGATCCTAAGTATTTAGGCTAATAAAACTTTGCTGCTTCTGAAATACTTTGTGTTATTTTTATTTCAAAAATAATTTAGATTTGCCACATTACTTTTTATTAATTTCAACATATTAAAGAAATTTCCAATCATTAACAGGTATCATTTTTCAAGTGTTTCTATTAATATCTTCTACAAACTGAACCTGATACATCTAAGCTTTTTTATCTGGTGATTAATAATGTTTTGAAATACTCGCTTATGGAAAGTGTTTGACTTGTCAGTAAATTAAATATAGCCCTTGGGTAGTTTAAGAGGGTATGACAATTTCACATGGTTTATAAATAAAAGCAGAAAATAACAAAAGATTATTAAAAAGGATCTGTGATAAAAATACACAAGAAAGTGGACAACATTAGGATCTTTGAAAAAACTATTTGCATTTTTTAATGGCTTTTGTTTGAAGAGTATATACAAATAATTTGAATGAAGTATAAAAAACAGTAAATGTGGGCAGGGCGCACTGGCTCATGCCCATAATCCCAGCAGTTTGGGAGGCCAAGGTGGGCGAATCACCGGTTTAGGAGTTCAAGACCAGCTTGACCAATATAGAGAAACCCCGTCTCTACCAAAAATACAAAAATTAGCCAGGCATGGTGGTGGGTGTCTGTAATCCCAACTACTCAGGAGGCTGAGGCAGGAGAATCGCTTGAACCTGGGAGGCAGAGGCTGCAATGAGCCAAGATCATGCTGTTGCACTCCAGCCTGGGCGACAGAGCAAGACTCTGTCTCAAAAACCAAAGACCAAAAAACAAACAAACAAACAAAAAAGAAAACAGTAAATGTGTTTACTATGTGAAACTCTTGATTGGAAACAAATATGTAATTGAAATTGTTCATAAGTGATTTCTAAAAGATGTATGTAGACCAGAAATGGATAAGTGAACTTCTCTTTCAACCTCGTGAAACAAATTATTAAAAAGAAAAGAAAAAAAAAGAAATACTGGCTGGGTGCGGTGACTCACACCAGTAATCCCAACACTTTAGGAGGCCAAGGCGGCCAGATCACTTGAGCCCAGGTGTTCAAGACCATTCTGGGCAACATGGTGAAACCCCAGATTTACAAAAATATATATATAAAATATAAAAGAAAATAATTAGCCAGGTGTGGTGATGCATTCCTGTAGTCCCAGCTATTCAGGGAGGCTCTAGTGGGAGAATGACTTGAGCCTGGGATATCGAGGCTTCAGTGAGCTGAGATTGCACCACTGTACACCAGTCTGGGTGACAGAATGAGAACCTGTCTCCAAAATAAAGAAAAAAAAAAAGGGAAAACAAAACAAAAAAACCCTGAAAAATATTTATGACCTTTAACATTTAAGGAATCATAATGTGAGTACAAAAGTGAATGCAAGTTGAATTTTTTTAAAGGTAAATTGCAATATACAAAACACATTTTAAGGCCAGGCACAGTGGCTCATGCCTGTAATCCCTGCCCTTTGAGAGGCTGAGTCCCAGGATCTCTTGAGGCCAGGAGTACCAGACCTGCTTGGGCATCATAACAAGACCTCATCTCTATAAAAAAAAAAAGTTAAAAACTTAGCTGGGCACAGTGTCATGCACCTGTAGTCCCAACTACTCAGGAGGCTGAGGCAGGAAGATTTCTTGAGCCCAGGAGTTTGAAGCTGCAGCGAGCCATAATTGGGCTCCAGCCTGACTAATTGGCACTCCAGCCTGGGTGACAGAGTGAGACCCTGTCTTCAAACAAAATGAAACAACAACAACAACAAAAATCTCTAAAAGCACTTTAAGTAAGGATTTAAATATGGCCATCATAATCATTATAGCTCAGCCAATAGTCTTTTCAAGTTTTTCTTCATTCTGGGTCTCTTTGTTTAGTTTATAATATCTAATTCACTTGAATTTTGCATTATTATTCTTCTTATAAAAATTAACTTATAAATAAATACTGATCCTCTCTTTCATATTTTTATAATACTAGGATATTTTGTTTGGTTATACTGAAGAGAGGAGGCAATAGTTTAAATTAAAAAAAAAACCTTAAACTTTCAATAGAAATAACATTCAACTACCACAAAACTTTGGTGACATTAAGCAAAGAACCTCCAGATCAGGCATAGTCAGAGGTGAAGTTACATTAATTGAGAAAGGCTATAGTAAAGCTGGGAGGACCTTTTTAAAATTTTGTTTTGATTTTTTCATGCCTCACATGCTGCCTCATGTAATTTTGGAACCATAGACAAAAATTGATATTGACTCTTCCTGTTTTCTTACATGATTGCAGTGCTGTCACGGGATTTCATTAAGGTAATTGCATTTTTTTTACTGTAGTATAAGATGCTGCAACAGTGTAAAATACCTCAGAATCATTTCAACCGGGGGCTTGACAAAGTACCTGGCAATGTTCAGGTAAAGGAAAAACATATGGTCCACCAGCCCTTGGATTGTAGACTGTGATTCTGTATGACTCAATGCAAAATAAGCTTTTTACTACAGTGGAAAAGATTACCCTCCCTTTGAAAAAACAAACATAAAATTCTGTTTCCCATGGTGTTTTAAAGACTTTGGAGTTTGTATCTTGCTAAACTAGAAAAATAGACTAAATGGCATCATACTTGAAAAATAAATAGAGAAAAGAGTGTCCCGACAGGTTAGCTGAAATTGTGAAATGACAAAACAACCTAAAGAGAAAATGTTTTGAATTTGGAAATAGTCTACTATTAAAAAAATTCTAAAAGTAATTGTAAGTGTTTTAGCACTTAATAAATTAATTCACATATTTTAATACCATGATTGAAAGTAAACTTTTCTCTTTGATGACTGGTATTGAAAATTTGAATTATCATGAAAATATATATGTGTATTTTTTAAGGTTCATCTTATCTATCACTTCCTCCATGAACCCTTTCTGACAATTTTTATAATATATGCTTATCATTTGCTTGCCATAGTTCAGCAGATAAAGTATATTTTGATTTATTTTATGGACCTCCCAATGCACAGTATTACATTTTTAATATCTTAGAACCCAAATATGTATAAAAAGCAAGTTCATGTTTATACCAATAAAATGGGAAGAATGACTAGTGTAATATGGTTCATAGATGTTAAAGTATAATGTAAATCTGACTGAGATCACATTTGGTATGACAGAATCCTTAAATAAAATTTACTACTGATTAAGTTAAAAATTATTTCAAATTTGCTTTCTTGACTACTGTTTTAAATATGTACTTTTTATTTTGGTAAAATATGCATAACATAAAATTTATAATTTTAACCATTTTCAAGTGTAGAGTTCAGTGGTATTGAAAATATTAATATTGAGCAAGGAATGCTGGCACACACCTGCATTCCCAACAACTTGGGACGGTGAGGTGGGAGGAAGCTTGACCCCAAGAATTCGAGACCAGTCTGGAGAAAAAAGCAAGACACCATCTCACTCACACACATACACACACACATAAACACATACACACACACACACTCACACGAATATATTAACATTTTTCAATTACAACCACCACCCATCCTCTGAAACTTTTTATCTCCCCAAATTGAGACTGAGTTAAACAATAACTCCTCCTGTATTCTTTTTTTTTTTCTGTTCTAGTTATTTGATCTTGCAGGTAATACACGTATACAAAATCTTGGAAGTATGCATAAATAATAATGCACTATGGATTCAGTGGTTTAGAAGTCACTTTAATAATAGTTGCATTGTGTTAGAGTATTTGTGTTAACGCTACATTAAACTCAAAGATTTTCTACTCAAATGCTAAGAATTAAACACTCATGATAGTCCATTGTTTTGTACCTTAATGATTTCATTATTCAAAATATAACAGTAATAAAATAAAGGTATAAAACTAAATTTCAGAAAAATAAATAAAATACCTGATTGAAAGAATCAGAGAGCTGGCTAGGTAATCAGGTATTAAGGAACAGGTAAGTGAGTAAACATACTATGAGTTGCATTTCTTTTCTGGGCCCTTGCCAACTCTTGGTTTTGATCATAAGACTAACAGTCCTAAAATAGGGAAGGAGCTAAGAGTCAGAGAAGCCAGTGAAGTTTTCATAATTATGTGGCACATAGGATATAAAACTTGAAGTTCATAGCATCCAGAAAATTTAGAATTAAAGAGACCAATGTTTTGAAGAGAAAGGAGAATAATCCCATACCCAATTCTCCAGTTTGGTAGGATAAGAGCCTAAGGAGGTAAGAAGAAACCACCGAAAGGCAGACTCCTGGTGCCAAGAAAACAAAAATTCAGGACCTTCCAATTAGACAAGGTCCTAGGAAATATCCCATGCTCTCAGTTGAGACACTGAGAAAGCAGTGGCCTAGAAAACCACAAAATGAGATTTAAATTAAGTATCATCACAATAGCAACCTAGTCTGGAATAAACTAAATCAGTTTCAGATTGAATTAAAGTGATGTTCCTCCTGTCTAGCCACCTATTAGAGAATAGGTTAGTAAATACTCACTAGAAAAAGGCAGTGGCTATAGATGTGTGGTGTTATTTCTGAGGCCTCTGTTCTGTTCCATTGTTCTATATATCTGTTTTGGTACCAGTACCATGCTGTTTTGGTTACTGTTGCCTTGTAGTATAGTTTGAAGTCAGGTACTGTGATGCCTCCAGCTTTGTTCTTTTTGCTTAGGATTGTCTTGGCTATACAAGCTCTTTTTTGGTTCCATATGAAATTTAAAGTAGTTTTTTCTAATTCTGTGAAGAAAGTCAATGGTAGCTTGATGGGAATAGCATTGAATTTATAAATTACTTTGGGCAGTATAGCGATTTTCATGATATTGATTCTTTCTACCCAGTAGCATGGAATGTTTTCCCATTTCTTTGTGTCCTCTCTTATTTCCTTGAACAGTGGTTTGTAGCTCTCTTTGAAGAGGTCCTTCACATCCCTCATAAGTTATATTCCTAGGTATTTTATTCTCTTTGTAGCAATTGTGAATGAAGACAGTGTGGAGATTCCTCAAGGATCTAGAACTAGAAATACCATTTGACCCAGCAATCTCATTACTGGGTATATACCCAAAGGATTATAAATCATTCTACTAATAAAGACACACGCACACATATATTTACTGCAGCACTATTCACAATAGCAAAGACTTGGAACCAACCAAAATGCCCATCAATGATAAACTGGATAAAGAAAATGTGGCACATATATACCATGGAATACTAAGCAGTCATAAAAAGAATGAGTTCATATCCTTTTCAGGGACATGGATGAAGCTGGAAACCATCATTCTCAGCAAACTAACACAGGGACAGAAAAACAAACACCACATGTTCTCACTCATAAGTGGAAGTTGAACAATGAGAACATATGGGCACAGGGAGGGGAACATCACACACCAGGCCCTGTCGGGGGATGAGGGGCAAGGGAGGGATAACATTAGGAGAAATACCTAATGTAGATGACGGGTTGATGGGTGCAGCAAACGACCATGACACATGTATACCTATGTAACAAACCTGCATGTTCTGCACATATATCCCAGAACTTAAAGTAAAAGAAAGAAAGAAAGAAAGAAAGAAAGAAAGAAAGAAAGAAAGAAAGAAAGAAAGAAAGAAAAGACAGAAGAAAGAAAGAAAAGAGAAACAGAAGAAAGAAAGAAAGAAAGAAAGAAAGAAAGAAAGAAAGAAAGAAAGAAAGAAAAGAAAGAAAGAAAGAAGAAAGAAGGAAGGAAGGAGAGAGAGAGGGAGGGAGGGAGGGAGGGAGGATGGAAGGAAGGAAGGAAGGAAGGAAAGAAGGAAGGGAAGGAAGGAAAGAAAGGAAAGAAAGGAAGAAAGGAAGAAAGGAAGAAAGAAGAAAGAAAGAAAAGAAAAGAAAAGAAAGAAAGGCAGTAACATTCATGGCCTGTAAATTTTTTTTTTCAAAGTTGCTGGTTATATCCCAAAATGAAGTCAAGGCAATGTAGATATCATAGGAGACGATCAAAATTTTACTTTGATACCGAAGTTATAAGCTACAGACTTAAAAAAAATAGTATATTCAAAAACTGTTAACAAGATATAAAACTGACCAGAAAACAGAAATCTATACAAAGAATAATGTAGAAAATCTAGAATAAAAAATAAAATAATTTAAATTAAAAACTGAATTAAGTATTAGCAGATTGGATGTAGCAGAAGAGAGGAAGGCTGAACTGCAAAATAGGTCAATAGAAAATATTCAGACTAAAAAAAAGGCAAAAGGAGTAAAAACAATTTTTAAAAGCGATTTGAAAGGAGAGCTTATATATGTTACATTAGAATCAAAGAAGCAAAGAGAGAGATGGAGAAGCAGCAATAATTTAAGAGATATTGACTAAAATTCTGCAAAACTTTTCAAGAACATCAGGTCAACCAGCTACATCTTTTATATGCCAGTTGAAAACCACACCTTAGTCCATGTGTCTTTATGAATGCGTATTCAAAATGTCATACTTCTTCAAATGAACAATAGGCTATTTTTTAAACTGAAAAGACAGACCAAAAATATCTTTAAATATTTGCTGAAAGAAACTAATTGCCAATTCATGCTTTTATACTCAGCACAATCATTTTTAATTGAGAAGCAAATATAGATTTTCTTCAGAAAAAAATGTACCACATATTAAATCACAAGAGGACTACTTTGACCAAGGAAAAATTGTATCAGCAGAAAATAGAGATATGCAGAAATAATGAAGAAAAAAGGAAAGTGTAAATATGTGTGAAAATATAAATGAATTTTAATTGTGCACAGTTATACAGATTTATCACAATAATATGCATGGCTTTAAAAGATATGAGGAATTAAAAGGCATGACAGGCATTAAATTTAAATAAATTGTTCTAAGATATTAGCATTTTCTTGAAAATAACATTCACTTAAAAATTAGAAGTCATTTACATAAATTTTTATTTCCACTTTAACTGCTAAAAAATGGTCTGCCTTTTGCTAAAAAGGATCAATAACAAAATGCTAATAAAAGAGGAAACATTTATTTCAAAAGAAGACAAATACAAGAAAAAATGTTACAAGAAAGAATAGACCCAATGGGACAAATGATATGATAAAAGACATAAAACAAAAAATCAGCAACTAATTTACAGGTAAATGGTACATATCCATTAGTTAAACAGCTGCCCAAAGAGTCACTTTACATGTAGGAAGAAAAGATCTCTTGCATAGCATAGATGATAGTCTTTTATCATTCTTATGTGTGACGGATACTCAATTGAATACTGATTTTTCAATAGTATATTTAGTCATCCAAATATTTTAAATATTTATATATGTCTACCATTTCTTGAAAACATGTTGCTTAAATTTTAAAAATTTATCTACCTCCAGATTGCACATGATCTATTTCTCCTGAATTTTCATGCATTTTATCTTTATTTTTATGTGTAAGCCTTCAGTTTTCTAGACCACTAGCTCATCCCCAGTTCCATTGCACATTTTTTTCACTCTGTTAATCTGTTGTCATAGTGCTATGAAAAAATACCCAAGACTGGGTGATCTATAAAGAAAAATAGGTTTAATCGACTCACAGCTTGACATGGCTGGGGAGGCCTCATAATCATGGCGGAAGGTGAAGGAAGAGCAAAGGGACGTCTTAAGTGGTGACAGGCAAGAGAGTATGTGCAGGGGAATTGCCCTTTATAAAACCGTCAGATCTCATGAGACTTGTTGACTGTCATGGGAATAGCACAGGAAAAATCCGCCCCCAAGATTCAGTTACCTTCCACTGGGTCCTTCAGACATGTGGGGATTATGCGAGCCACAATTCCAGGTAAGATTTGGGTGGAGATATAGCCAAACCATGTAACTCACTGAATCAAAAAAATGGCTTGTATTATATTCGGTTATTTATATTATAATCTACTTTTGGGTGTCCTATTATTTCCGTGATTAAATTGTCATTTGCCAACATAATACTGATCTGATTAAGATGGATTTGTATGTTGTGATAATTAATGTAATAATATTTGATAGTCACTATTCTTTTGCAAATTTTCTTGGTTGTATTCGATATCTATTTTTAGCATATATTTAAGGTTATTTTTTATGAATATAAAAATTACTGTTGCAATTGTTTTGAAATGTATTTAGTTTGTATAAGTTTTAGGAAATTCGACTTTTGTGATAGTAAACTTCTTTATTGATATTGTGGAATCACTTGTCACTTATTCTGACCTGGTTTTATATCTTTCGATTAGATTATATAATTTCTTCATGTAGGTTCTGTGCCAATGTTTTAATTGTATTTCTATTTTATTTTATTTTTGCCTCAAAGAAAATAGAATATATTTTCAATTTTTCTTTGTAAGTAATTTTTGTTAGAGACAAAAATTAATTTTATCCATCTTAATCATTAAATCAAATAAAGTAGAATTAATGCAACCATTTGAAAATAAAAATCAATTATTTTTCTAAGGATATGATTTATCCTAGCCTATAAAACACTTGAAGAATTATTATTTAATCAGTAAAACCTCAAATAATAGATTTTAAATGCTTCTTTATTTAAATTTTAAAATGTTTAAATGACAAATAAAAATTGTATATATTCTAAGGTATACAACATGATGATTTTATATAGACACTGTGTAATAATTACCACAATCAAAATAACAAATCCATCCCCACTCATGATGTATATTAGGTATCTAGAAATTGTTCATCTTATTACCGAAAGGTTTTACTCTTTGACCAACTCCCCATTTTCCAGAGTTTCCCAAATCCTGACAACCAGCATTCTCTTTCCTTCTATGTATTCAACTTTTTTAGATTTTTACATTTTATACTTCTAAAAATGTGCCATGAAATATCCATGAGAAATTATATCATCAGAAAATAATAATTTATTGTCATTTTCAATTTTTTCCTTGACTATTTTATTATTCCAATCAGGAAAACTTCAAAGAATATACTACACAGTAATAATACAAATAGAGAAACCCTTGTTTAACTTTTCTTTTTCATTTTAATTATTTTAATGTTAAAGATTATTTTATTGCAGGAGAACTAAAGAACATTTATTGTATAAAACAAAGGTTTTTGCTATACTTGGTCATGAATATTAAAAAGTGAACCATTTTACTCTTAAAATTATTAGCCACGAATTAAGTTAGTCAGCATTATTTTAATCTTTTTTGATTCTAAAATTCCATCAACATATTCAGTCTCCTTCCAAGGCAGACAGTATCCAAGTTTGCAATGCTAGAGTGAGAAATAACTTTGAAAATGACAAAGCAACAGAATATATATTTTGTAGATAAAACTAAATTTCATCAAATATTTAGAGTGAAACATAAATGTATTTAGACACTTGCAAAGATGTTGATATTTTGTTAAAATTTTCAGTTTTTATCCAGATGTCTGGCAGCACATAATGAAAACAAAACACTGTGTGAATAAACATAATCTCAATTACACCAAAATGCTGTTTTTCCACTGATTTCCAATTTTCTTTCTGAGAGAGGACATAATCATGGGTTGGGTGATTGTAGGGATTAACAATCCTGGCTTCTAAGAACAGAATATGATCAGGCATTCATTAGTCACTTCAATCCCTCTGCCATTTGACAATGACTAAATTAGGTGAATGGTTTTAACAGTTTAGTGCCTATTGCTAGAGTCATGTTGATACAACTCAAAATAAAGATAATGATCTACTGAGGTCCTATTAACCCTTGATAAGGAGATATTTCTTTTAAACATTCATTTTTTTCAGGATAAAATTATTGTCTCCCATTTTCATCTTTTTATCCACATAAATCATACATCTATCTACTCAGAATTATTATTCTTGCTTTAACAACATTTTTCTAATATCAAGAAGAATGATGGCCTCTAGGGTAACAATTAGCTTTGTTTATTAATTTTTAACTGAAAGAATAATTACTACATATCAAATAACAGGAATACCTTCAAAAATATTAGAAGATAAGAGATTGACTGAGTGTGTCTATTAGACAGGAGAAAAGTGTTTTCTTAGTTTTCTAATAAAATAGTTTTTATCCTTTAATTTTTTTCCTTTGGATACAGGGTCTCACTCTGTCACCCAGGCTGGAGTGCAGTGGCAGGGTCTTGGCTCACTGCAACCTCCACCTCCTAGGTTCAAGCAGTTCTCATGCCTCTGCCTCCCAAGTAGCTGGGATTATAGCCGCACACCACCACGCCCAGCTCATTCTTTTGTATTTTTGGTAGAGGCAGGGTTTCACCATGTTGGCCAGGTTGGTCTCCAACTCCTGACTTCAAATGGTCCGCCCGCCTTGGCCTCCTAAAGTGCTGGGATTACAGGGTGAGCCACCATGCCCGGTTTCTAATTTTTGAATATCAGTTTTAATTATGGAGACATTCAACTATTTAGGTCTACTTCCTAGTGAACAAAGATTTGTCCCAAATAAAATATTATTTAGTATATCATACAAATGTGAAAAAGGGAAAATACTTCTTGGATAAAAGAATGGGGTAGAATTTTGAAATCTTATCTGTTCTTGTAATCATTTATCTAATATACCATATTTTATTTTCAGAATTCCTCTTTTTCCTGAGACAGTGTTTTAGTTTTGCTGAAAAAGAGACATATATTGAGTGACAATTACAATAAAATTGTCATAAAACCCCTAAATCAATTTTGGGTCCCTTGTATTAGAAGTGATAACTAAAACTGCAGTTATATTTGCACCAACCTAATATATGTATCTAAATTTTAATTTGTTTTCTACACCTGCATATCTGACATTTAAAAATATTTTCTCTCTGGAAGTTTATCGGTTGTCAACATTGTGTACATTGATTTTATTACAATTTTTTTACATGCTACATAATAAATTTTGCTTATGTGTTTGTGTCAGAAGTTAATTCTATAACACCGAAAACTGGACCTAGGTTGAGTGTATTACCTATACATCTGGCCTCCACTTTTTGATTCTTAATTTACTCTTTAGCTCCTAAACATATCTAATATCTCAATATGGTCCATGACCCTCTTCATGGTTTCTTTGCAAATAAGAGAATATCCCCACTACACCTCTGAGAAAAAAAAAATTGTTTTCTCTTGGCATCTATCTGTTGTTTAGTTGATAGCATAGATTTTACTTTATATTTAAGTTTTTAATTATATCTCTCATTGGGAGAATACATGTATATTTTAATCATATATTTATGACTATTCATATAAATCTGAGGAATTTTTTTCCTTTCTAAGACAGGGTCTCACTCCATCTCCTAGGCTGGAATGTAGTGGCACAATTATAGCTCACAGCAGCCTCAACCTCTGGGCTCAAGTAATCCTCCTACCCAACCCTCTCACCTGGCTGGGACTACAGGTATGTACACCACATCGGGCTTTTTTTTTTCTTCAGTTTTTATTTTTTGTAGAGGCAGGGTCTCACTATATTGCCCAGGTTAGTCTGGAATTTCTGGGCTCAAGCAATCCTCCTACCTTGGCTTGCCAAAATGCTGACATTACAGGCATGAGCCACCACGCCTGGCCAAATCTAAGAAATATTTTGCAGATAATATGATTGGTTTCATTAAAAAACAAAATTCCAGACTTCTGCAACCAATAAGAATCATTGACAGCATCATTCAGAAAAGTCTCATAGACAGTGATTTCATGTAATGTAAAAAATATTATCTTTTTAGTGAGCTTATAAACCTTCCAATGAGACACAGATAAATAATTAAATGGAATGACTCTAACAGCAGATTTAGGCATTGGCCATGGGCTGACTTGAAGATGCATAAGAAACGCTGCTAATTTCCACTATTGGTAGGATCCCTAAGGCATCAAAGGAGTAACATCATCAACTAAGACTATGGAATTACCAGCAATAATGACAATCGTAAGTGTGGATTTGTAATCACTGAAGCCAGGATTAAAAAGACTCTGCAGTTTGTAGACCAGTGCCCAAACACAGACTAAACCATAGAGGTATTGCCAGTTTAAGTCACAAATGAAGATCAATAATAGACAATGCACCAATCTGATAATAGAAAGGCTGTGTTAGAAACAAAACAGCTAGCCGGGCGTGTTGGCTCACGTCTATAATCCCAGCATTTTGGGAGGCCGAGGCGGGCGGGTCACAAGGTCAGGAGTTCGAGGCCATCCTGGCCAACATGGTGAAACCCCGTCTCTACTAAAAATACAAAAATTAACCAGGTGTGGCGGCACAGCCTGTAATCCTACCTACTCAGGAGGCTGAGGCAGGAGAATTGCTTGAACCCGGGAGGCAGAGGTTGCAGTGAGCTGAGATCGCGCCACTGTACTCCAGCCTGGGGGACAGAGTGAGATGCTGTCTCGGAAAAAACAAAAACAAACAAACAAAAAAACAGCTAAATCTCTCTTCATTTTGTAATGCTGAATTATACATCAATTTCTTAAAAGGAATAAATTAAACATAAAGTAAACATAAAACTGCTGAGATTGTATTCAGTGTTATGTGCAGTGTGTGTGTGTGTGTGTGTGTGTGTGTGTGTGTGTGTATTCACGATTGAGCTGGATGTGAGGAATGTACTTACGGAAGTACGTTAAGACAGTGAAGTACATATTCTGTTTCCCCTTAATACCCTCTGGACTGTGATTCCCATGGCCTTGGCTTCTTCATTGATTTCTAAGAGTCTTCCAAGCGTAATCAATGGATGGCTTCCGCAAATTATGGGCTCATTACCGGCTGGGGTTGAGGAAAAGGAAATGTAACATGTGCTATAGGTTGGATGAAGCGGTGCTAAGCTGAATGCCTGAGGAGCAGAGTGTCTGCGAGTTAGAACCTGTGTCAGACTCTTGCAGAAACAGCTCTATAGGAGGTTTGTGTCAGCAACTGCGCAGAAGCTGGATCTGATTGAGGCTAAGATGCTTTCATTTCACTTCATCAACCATTTAATTGCACTGACCTTTGACCCTCTGCAGACACTAATTCAATCTGTGGGTATTTACAAACTGATAAAGCCAAAACAAAAGAAATAGAGACAGAAGGAGGGGCTCCTGGGAAGGAGGTGAAGATGAAAAGGATTTGTGAACAATCACAAGAGTCAAAATTCTTTAATTTAGCTGAAAAAAAAATAAAGGATAACCATCTGTGACTAGAATAATAATAAGGGGCGAGACTAAATTCTCCTTCCTACAAAAAGTGTTAGTTTATTGGCTCAAACCTAATAAGTTTTTTAGTCTTTAGTGTTCTGTAATAAAACACACATAACAAAAACATAAAAATCCTGGATGTGTCTAAGAACTGTTTCAATGAGACTCTTAGAAATTTATATTTTCAGTCCAAATTCTAGTACTCAGGGTGAGCATATCAGTAACTCAATGCCTTAGAAAATGCCTCTTGAACAAATTCCATGCTTGCTTTGCTATGTCATGCGTCCCCAGTACAGACAAGCGTTCTTTGAAACATCCCTTGTCAAATTGTTGTCTTTTAAGCAATGTGCTGGAATATGTCTATCTTTTGATTCTTCTCTGTTTTTACAATAGTTGATTGCAGTGCTCTCCAAAGCTTAACAATGAGCTTGAAATGCTTTCAAATAGCCTCTTGAAAAGTAAATCAGACTTTTTTTGTCATTGGCCAAAAGGATTTATAAAATCATCATTTGAGATTGCATTTAAAAGATTACAAAACATTAAGTAGGAAGTAGAAGAATGATACCACTTTTAGGTGAGATATATACATAAAAATATACTGGCGCAGTGACTCATGCCTGTAATCCCAGCACTTTGGGAGACCGAGGCAGGGAGATCACGAGGTCAGGAGTTTGAGACCAGCTTGGCCAACATAGTGAAACCCTGTCTCTACTAAAAATACAAAAAAAAAAAAAAAAAGCTGGGAGTGGTGGCGGGTGCCTGTAATCCCAGCTACTCAGGAGGCTGAGGCAGGAGAATCACTTGAACCCGGGAGGCAGAGGTTGCAGTGAGTGGAGATTGTGCCACTGCACTCCAACCTGGGCAATAGTGTGAGACGCCGTCTCAAAAAAAAAAAGAAAAATATAAATTGTGTATAATTTAATATAGAATTTATTAATGGAGCTATGTACATAGAAACCAAAAGAAAAAAAAAACTTGAGAAGAAGAAATGTCAACATAATTTAACATTACTTTAGAGATTGAAGGTTAACCTGTACTACCCCTTTTCTATGTTTAGGTACACAAATACCATTGTGTTAGAGTTGCCTACAGTATTCAATACAGTAACATGCCATACAGGTTTCTAGCACAAGAGCAAGGGCATCTATTGCAATAGGTATAAATATAGATACAGGTATCATTATGAATATGACTATAGATGGTTATCTATTTATAGATATATTAGATATAGATGATTATATATATAGCTATATAGAGATTATATATTTATAGATATATATGCATGGCTATTAATATAGATATAGATTATTATATATTGATAGATATATTTAAATCCTTTTTTTGGTCAAGTTCACAAGGCAAATTAAATTAAATCCACTTTTTGAAATAATGGTAATGAATTTAAAATAGGCCTCTACTGAACAAATGTCATACATAAATTCCACTGAATGATGTAATGAGGAGGAATGATGGTATGGGATAGAGAAATGTAATAGAGTCAGAAAACATGAGTCTGAATCCCTGCTCCATACTAATTTTGTAGGGATACATCTTAGCATTTTTGACCCATGATGTAAACATGTATAAAGTGAGAGAACAAGAGTATATCGAATGGTTGTTCTGTGCTCTCTTAGAATGCGAGTCTCCTCAAAATACTCTGATGACTTCTCACCTCTCTCAGTGTAGAAGACAAAATAAAACAACTAGTTTTTAGATTGTCTCACAGGTCCCATGCGATCTATGTCCCTAGTACTCCTTAACTTCCCCACCTGTCCACGTCTGTCCCTCTTCTCCACAGTGCACAGCTCCTCCCATCCCCGAGAACCATTCCAAGTGCTGTTCCAATACCTGAGATGCCCTCTTGCCAGGTGTCTGAATGGTGAACTCCCTCATTGGTTGGAGATCTTTATTCTAATGCTACCTTTTCCATAGGTCTTGCCTGTGTATTCTATTAAAATTGAAGCCTCCACCTCTGAAACCAATATCCGCATCCACACTCACACAACCACACCTACACCCACAAACATACACTTCCTATACCATTTATTGCTCTATTGAATTTCCTCAGGATTTATCCCCATCTCACATGATTTATGATCCAATTTCCGTATTTCTGATATACACAATAGAAATTGTTTATAATTTTATTTTTTTTTTGAGACAGAATTTCTCTTTTGTTGCCCAGGCTGGAGTGCAATGACACGATCTTGGCTCACTGCAACCTCTGCCTCCCAGTTCAAGCGATTCTCCTGCTTTAACCTCTTGAGTAGCTGGGATTACAGGCATATGGAACTAGACCTGGCTAATTTTGTATTTTTAGTAGAGACCGGGTTTCACCATGTTGGTCAGTCTGCTCTTGAACTCCTGACCTCAGCTGATCCACCTGCCTAGGCCTCCCAAAGTGCTGGGATTATAGGCATGAGCTACTGTGCCCAGCGAATTGTGTATAATTTAATATAGTATTTATTATGGGAGTTATGTACATAGAAACCAAAAGGAAAAGAAAAACTTGAGAAAAAGAAATGTTAACATAATTTAATGTTAGACACTGAATGTTGTACACGTAATATTTCCAATTTTAAGTATACAATTTGTAAGTGTAAAATTTCCAAGTTTAAGTATACAACTCAGTGGTGCTAAGCATGTTCGCAGTGTTGAGCAATCATTACCACCATCTATCTAGAACTTCTTCATCTCACCCAAAGAGAAACTGTAAACAACCCCATCATTCCCTCCCTATAAACCACCCATAACTTCTATATCCTTATCTCTATGAATTTGCTTATTTTAGATACCTCATAAACGTGGAATTATGCAGTATTCATTCTTTCACGTCTGGCTTATTTCACTTAGCATAACATTTCTAAGATTTGTACCTGTTGTTGCATGTCTCAGATATTCAGACCTTTTAAAGGCTGAATGACATTCCATTGTATGCATATGCTACATTTTGCTCTCCCTTTATCTGTTGATGAACAGTTGGATGGTTCCCATCTTTTGGCTATTGTGAATAAAGTTGCAATGAACATTGGTGGAAAGTATCTCTTTGAGTCTGAGGGCATTTTTAATTTTTTTTTCCTGCTACGTCTATAGGGCTTGGAATAATGTCTGGAATGTAGTAAATAGGTAGCTGTATTTTTGTTCTCTTTTCTGTCCCCCTTTTTTTCTGTTCTATTGTGTGTGTGTAGAAGGCTGACAGCTCTAGATTTCATTGTATTCCTTTGCTTCCAGTTGGCGATGGTAATTAATTCCCTGGCAGAAGATCATAAAGCAGGAGGAGAGAGGTTGTGTCAACAGTTCCCAACCCTCTGGCTTTGCTCTGCTTCCTCCAACTCTACGAGTTTCATAATGGACCTACCTCCACAGCTCACACTATCATCTGTGCTTTCACAAACTTGTCTTCCCCTTGTCCCTTCCGACTTAGGGGTAGCAAAGGGTTTTCCCTGTTTACGGTCCTTAAAAACTCAGAATTTCTCACATTCCTACTTGTTTTCTTAACGCTGTTTACACCTGTTAAATAATCACTTCACTGATTTATTTTTCAGTTAAATAATCTCACATTTACCATCTGTTTTCTGCTAGAACCTTCACAGATTCACAGGTGCTCAATGCATATTTTTGACAGAACTAACAAATGACACCTTAAAATTTTCCTCATCTGTTTGAAGGATTCCACACACTTTTTATATCAATTTTCATGTCTTAATTATTTGGAATAATTATGATATATAATAAATTGCACATTCCAAGTTTTATAGACCAAAATTAAATGTGTTGGAAACAACTTGTAATACCTGCTGGGATTGTGGTGGTTGTTGTTATTTGTTTCTTTATTTGTTTTAATGTAGATTTTATCTCAAAATAAAGCTTCACCGCCATCTCTGTTTTGTTGAAATTCAACCTGAGACTATATGGGAACTGTGAAAACATGGTTATAATATCCAATGACCTATTTGTGTGGGTTAGGATTTTCTCACAACTATGTATCTACAACAAAATACAATAAAAGTTAGATAATGAAGCTAATATAACATGACAAAAATCATTCATAAGCTAGTATAACAATGCCAAAGCCATCCACAAACTAATATCAAAAATTGTTGTGTGCCTCGAAACGCTTTTTGTTTGTATTAATTTATTTGAAAATGTCTGTTAATAAAATGGGTCTTTGTTTTTTACACTGTGATTCTGAATAATATTTTGTTAGAAAGCACTTAAGTTCCTTTTATAACTTTCTTTTTTTTTTTTTTGAGACGGAGTCTCGCTCTGTCGCCCAGGCTGGAGTGCAGTGGCGAGATCTCCTCTCACTGCAAGCTCCGCCTCCTGGGTTCACGCCATTCTCCTGCCTCAGCCTCCCCAGTAGCTGGGACTACAGGCGCCCTCCATCACGCCCGGCTATTTTTTTAGTAGAGACACGGGGTTTCACCGTGTTAGCCAGGATGGTGTCGATCTCCTTACCTCGTGATCCGCCTGCCTTGGCCTCCCAAAGTGCTGTGATTACAGGCGTGAGCCACTGCACCCAGCCTCTCTCTTATAACTTTCCTGAACAGAAATCAAATTCTTAAACAACCAGCTTGTCCCTATCTCTGCAAATTATTTCAGGTATCTGATCAGAAGGATCCTAGGGGTTGTTTTGATTTATCTATATTCTTTATCCACTATTTTAATTTGCTAGAACTGCCATAACAAATTTTCTAGAGCTGCCATAACAAAGTACCACAGATTGGGTGGCTTAAACAGCAGACATTGATTTTCTTATAGTTCTAGTGACTACAAGTCCAACAAGCAGTTGGCAAGGTTGCTTTCTCCTGAGGCCTTTCTCCTTAGCTTGCCGATGGCTGTCTTCTCACTGCATTCTCACACAGTCTTTTTTCTGTGCTTCTGCATTCCCAGTGTTTTTTCCACTTCTTTTTTTTTTATTTTATTATTATTATACTTTAAGTTTTAGGGTACTTGTGCACAATGTGCAGGTTTGTTACATATGTATACATGTGCCATGTTGGTGTACTGCACCTATTAACTCGTCCTTTAGCATTAGGTATATCCCCTAATGCTATCCCTCCCCCCTCCCCCTTTCTTGCTGTGTTCACACGAGGGCCTCCTTGATTCTGTTTGTGTGCCTATGTCCCAATCTCCTGCTTAAATAAGGATACTAGTCATATTGAATGGGGATTAGGGTCCATCACCTCATTTTACATTAATCGCCTCTTTGTTTTTGTTTGTTTCTTTTGTGTTTTGTTTTGTTTTGTTTTGAGGCAGTCTTGCTCTGTCGCTCAGGCTGGAGTGCAGTGATGCAATCTCAGCTCACTGCAACCTCCGCCTCCTGTTTCAAATGATTCTCATGCCTCAGCTTCCCAAGCAGGTGGGACTACAGGCATGTGCCACCACGCCCGGCTAATTTTATTTTATTTTTTTTTATTTTTAGTAGAGACAAGGTTTCACCATGTTGGCCAAGATGGGCTGGAACTTCTGAGCTCAGACAATCCACCAACCTCGGCTTTCCAAAGTGCTAAGATTACAGCCGTGAGCCACTGTGCCTGCCCTAATTCCCTCTTTAAAGGCCCTATCTCCAAACAGTCTTATTTCGAGGAACTAGGGGTTAGGACTCCGATGTGTGAATTTCAGGTAGACGCAATTTAGCCCATGACATCCACCTTGTCAAAACAGTCACTGAATTTCCCATTTTTTTTTTCTAAGTCTTCCTCTAAAATCACCACACTCATCCCTCCACCCACATCCAGGTAAGTGTCACCTCGTGTCTTTCATCTCCGCCTCCCTACTAACCACAGCCTAGCATACCTGGATCAGCTTAAACAGTACTTCCCAGGGACATTTTCTCTGACTGAGACTACTGCTGGTTCCTTCTGTTACTGGGTCTCATCAATCCTTGTACTTCTGCCATTATCATCCTTATCATATGTCACAGATTTTAACGTGACAGTAAGGTGTGTTTTCTGGTTGCTGGACACAGACTGACAAAGACGAAAGCCACTAACTAGATTAAAAAAGAAAATCCTTAGGGAACGTATTCAACCTCTGTGCCTCAGTTTCCTAATATGTAAAAGGTAATAATTTCCTCACATGTATGTAATAATAAGTTAGTTAAACAAAGCATATTAGTTGCTTAGAATGGCACTAAGTTGTGAGTGTTAGCTGTTATGAATCATTTAATCTTCTATTTGCCTGCATAGATTGTTACCTTTAAGAAGCCAAGAAGCTTTGCTGTGCTTAATACTGTATCTCTGATGCCAAAGGTAACATATTAAGATGCATCCCATACATTTAGTTGGAATAAACAATGTGACAGACAAGGAAAAATCTAATCTTTTATGATTGAAATGGGGATAGCAATTGAGACTGCCCCTATAAACAACACAAGAAAGAGCTTAGGGACACAGTTTAGAAGTAGACATCCTTTTACGAAAGAGGGTTCCTTCTGAGAAAATGCTCTGACGAGAGACACAGTCTCCAAGTTTAAAAGAACATTTCATTATCGGCAACATGCAGAGGGCATGAAAGACAGAAATCTCAGCTCTAGCAGGCACACTGACGAGAACAGCAAAGACTGAAGGATAAAAATGATCTGAGTTGATAAGGGCTTTGCAGTTAAAACAACAGACTTATACGGCAACACTCTATGCCCCAGAGGAACGTGGCTCCGGGAAGGGAATGAGGGCCAGTGCTGAACCAGCAGCCAGTGTCTAACTGACTTGCAAATACCTGTTCAGCAGGTAGTTTTCCTTCAGACCTTCCCAAGCCAGGTTCCCCTAAGGCTGTGTTTATGGTTTTTGAAGTATGGAATGTATAGCCTTTTTCCTTTTCTTGGTGCTTTAATTTAGGAAACAGCACAGTCATTTTTTGCTTATTTAATTGTTTTTGTTTGTTTTGCTTTTGCAACAACAAAGGATTGTTTTCTGGAAGACGTGATTATCTTTCTCCTGCTTTGTTCCTTTCTAACTTCAAAGAGGTTTTTGAATAATGAAGACATTTCTTTAGAATTAAAAAAAATACTTTTGGATGTCTTCTAGGCATTCAGGAATTTGAAGTAAAGTCACTTGAAACTAAATACTTGTGTTAGAATGTAAAGCAATGTTTTGGTATTGTTCTTTAATGTTATTGTATTAAGGATACTAGTTTGGAATTGTCAATGAGATAGAAGAAAGAGAGGCAGAGAGAGATCATGACAAGAAGCATATATATTATTTCTCAACTTTCAGATTTCTCTCTCTGAGCTTACCCTCTACATGCCTTTGAAAAATCATAAAGAAAACAATGCATTTTTCAGGTCTGAAGCTGAGAACTGCCAAAGCTTCTCTTCCACGGATCCCACATTGAAATATGTGTCTACCAAAGTACATAATGTACAAAAATTAGTGCTTGTATATTTTTTCTTACTAACTCTTGGTCATCTTTAGAGTTTTACAGTTTTGAATCAGAGCTTCCACTTAGCAAAATCTACTAAACAGTAGAAACATATGTTTTTGGCCATCTGGCTTATATAAAGTTTGTTGATTATTACATGTCAGCCACATTTTTGAAAATACCAAATGTGTGTCGAGCACGGTGGCTCATGTGTGTAATCCCAGCACTTTGGGAGGCCGAGGTGGGTGGATTACCTCAGGTCAGGAGTTTGAGACCAGCCTGGCCAACATGGTGAAACCCTATCACTACTAAAAATACAAAAAATTAGCCGGGTGTGGTGGCATGTGCCAGTAATCCGAGCTACTTGTGAGGCTGAGGCAGGAGAATTGCTTGAACCTGGGAGGCAGAGGTTTCAGTTAGCTGAGATCGCACCACTGCACTCTGTCTCAAAAAAAAACAAAAAACAAATATTGTTTCACAGATTATGTCAATGACCCTTAGTGATTGGATTTGAAATGCAAAATATGACCAATTACTTTATAATATTTACATCAACTTCACACCTAAAGTAGTGGCAGCGTAATGAAAATGAATTGAGAATATGGAATGTTAAAAGCACACTTTTATTTTTCACTAATCGAATTTATTTATTCGTAGTAAATAAAAACATGTTTAAAAAAATTAACTTCCTTGGAATAAGAGCCTAACTTGCAGGCAGATTTGTCTTCTTGGCTTTTTTCTACTGCTTTGATGTCTCATAGTAAAGGATAAAAGATTCCTATTCTTATTAATTAGCAATTAAAAGCTGAGTTAGGTAAGTCATTAAAAAAATCTTTCTCGGCTATCAGTTTCAACTGCTCATATACTAGGATAATAGTTATTTTTCAAGTAAGGTAATTCCTATACAATTATAGTTTATGTAATAGTGAAACTTTTTAATTTTCTCTGCTCTATGTAAAGGGAGGGAATTAGAGAAGTTGAGCTCATTTCTTACTTTGGGACATATAATTTTCTTTTCTCTTCCTAAGTATTACTTGTGCCTTGAGTCAAAGGTTCAGAAGAACTGCTAGCTAATGTATACGCATTTTGTATGAAGAAAGGCTCAGTAGGGAGACACATCCAATGATTTGCTGTTGTTGTTTTGGATGAAACCAGCTAGATGTTTACCAGTCTAGTTTTCTTTCCCCAAGAGTATAGGGAGACCATATTTGCAAGCCCCTTGTGCAGTTAGGGTGGGACCATGTCCCTACTATGGCCAAACCAATGAGAACAGAAGTAATATAAAATCTTCCTTCCTTCCCTCCCTCCCTCCCTCCCTTCCTTCCTTCCTTCTTTCTTTTTTTTTTTTTTTTTTTTTTCCAGAGCCTTGCTCTGTCGCCAGGCTGGAGTGCTGGTGCGATCTCAGCTCACTGCAACCTCCACCTCCCTGGTTCAAGCGATTCTCCTACCTCAGCCTGCCAAGTAGCTGGGGCTACAAGAGTGCGCCACCACACCCAGCTAATTTTTGTATTTTTAGTAGAGATGGGGTTTCACCATGCTGGGCAGGATGGTCTCGATCTCTTGACCTCGTGATCTGCCCTCCTCGGCCTCCCAAAGTGCTGGGATTACAGGCGTGAGCCACCACGCCCAGCTGAAGAATGACTATTTTTAATATTAACTACTTACAATATAATTACAATGTACTTAATTTACCAATTTCCTTTAATTACACTTGTCAGTAAAGTAGTGTTTATTTTTCATACATTTGGCTAATTATACAGCCATGTTTTACAGTATACTATCATGTCAGTTAACAGCATCATGCCTTAGTAGAAAATATGCTTAGGTCAAAATTATAGCAAATATGTGTAAGGAAGTTAAGTTCACACACTTATTAAAATTTCAAAGATACATTTCACGTAACATATATTTCCTTAACTTTGGTAATTTCTGTGGTGCTAATGTGTATTTGAAATTCTTGATTGTCAGAGCAAGAACTCAGTATTAGTTAACAATAATCCACCCCAAATAATCCACCCCAAGTCAGTATTAGTTAATAATTATCCACTCCAAATAATCATCTCATGCTTTACACTCTAAAGTAAAAAACAACTATTCATGACAGAAACATATTTCTTGATTATGAATTTTTTGGTTATTTTAATGGCTGAATTTTTTTCAGCAAGGGACACAGTAAAATTCAGACTCATATATTAGATTGTGCTTTCTATATGCCTGGCTGTTATCAGATAGTTTTTGCCATGTTTGATAGCAAAGCTGCTAAAAAGTGGTTAGCATAAAGCAGGTGCTTTATAAGTTAGAGGAATTCTCACTAGCTATTGAAAAATAAATCCCCAAATCTACTTGGGAGGCCGAGGCAGGAGAATTGCTTGAGAAAAATAAATCCCCAGCTACTTGGGAGGCCGAGGCAGGAGAATTGCTTGAACCCTGCAGGCAGAGGTTGCAGTGAGCTGAGATCACGCCACTGCACTCCAGCCTGGCGATAGAGGGAGACTCCGTCTCAAAAAATAAAAAAAATAAAATAAAATAAAAGTCATTCTCCATAATGCTCATTATTCATATTATTTTTCACCCAATACATTACATCCACATTCATGCCTTTTGTTGTTAGCTAAAATTTTGATTTTGAAATTGTACTTATGGGGGAATTTTACACTGAAATTTGGAGCAGGCACTGCAAAGATTATTTTTAGCATGCTCTGAAATTTTTCCCCAACACTGAGAACCTGATGTGGTTAGAATCCTTCTATTGATTTTTTAAATTAAAATTCTCATGAAAAGAAGGTTGCTTTGGCTTAAATCAGACACATTACAATCATTGTTTCTTCTCTGTTCTTGGAGACCCAGTTCTTTAGTTCTAATAATAAAGGTGAACACAAATGCTACTAATAGGCAAGTGATATTTTAACTTCTTCATTTTAGTAAATTGTAGTATTTTTAAGCATTTTATTTCATTCTGGGAAATACTGAGTCATGATTCACCATACTGAATCATTTAGGAGATAAACTTCTGGCATGTTTTTCAGTGGTGGGATGCCCACAGTACTCCCATTTATTGAAAAAGGAATTATATGCATCTTCCCCAGCTGAGATGCTTTAATTCTTGGCCAACATATTAGTCTTTAGTCTTTTTCTTGTTATTTGTCTATAAAGGACTGTGCTTTTAGTTTTCAAATTTAGTTAAAGCATTTTATATTCAATACATGCATTTTTTGTCTCCCCGCCCCACAACTAAAACAACAAACCACTTCACACTTCTGTCTCTGGCAGATTGATTGCATTCTCAAGCCAAGAGTCTGATTTCAGAATTTAGCTGTGATACATGAGGCATGACAATAAAGTAATAAAAATGGTTTGCTTATGTAATTCTTTATCAAAGTATTACAACAAAAGGTATTTCAAAAATGTTATTAACAATGACAGCCTCATAGGTTAGGTATAAAGTAATAAGGTCAATGAGAACGTTTTATGAATATTTGTTGGCAAGACAATAACAGAAATAAGAATATAAGTAAAAATGTCAGTAATCATAATACTAATTGCTAGGGAAATATTGACAAAGCAAACAAAAGCTAGCGCAAGTCCAGAGAGAAGTTGAGAACATGTGGAGATGGCAGGTGCAGGGGATGAGTGAGATGGTGCTGGAGGATGAGCTTTATGAAAAAAATTTTGAGGCAAAAGATAATTATATAAAGACCATTTTCTGAAAATTTTGCTATGTGTTTTGTGATTCCTTCATTCTTTACCCCAACAGTCTTTGGTTAAGACCTACATTATTATTGATTGCTGCCTGAAATTTCATTGACTTAATTTTGTTTGCTGTTGTTTTGGGGGTTTTCCTGTTAATTGTTTTAGAAGCATTTGTGATGTATATGTCTATAAGCGGGACGCTCCTCACTCAAGGTTACCCAGATATATGCAACATCATCAATTAACTTACTATCTGAATCAAGGAGAGTTGAAGTTACATTAGACATTCTGTCAAATAAACTGTACCTAAAAATATCTTGGAAATATTTTGAAATAAAGAATATCTTGCTGATATGCAGTGCCAGCTCAATAACATAATAGTCGTGTGCTAGAGTTTATATAAATCTATCATACGTCTATATAATATCCCCCAAAAAGTGAACATAGACTAAGACAAGTTCAGAATTCTGAACCCTGAGACCCGATAATATTTACATTTTAGAAAATAAGAAAAGAATCAGCAAAAGTGATTCATAAGGAGTGACTAGTCAAACAGAGAAAGGCCAAGTGAAAGTTGTGATCTGGAAGCAGGGAGAAGTCTAGAAAGAAGAATTAAGCAACCATTATTTTTTCAGGAAGATAAAAATTTTTAAATTACCATGGATTTGGCCTAAGAAGATTGAGTCATAAGTTTGCTAGGAGTGGAAGAAAAAAATCATTTTAATAGGTGAAATATAATTTTTTCATGTGAGGGTATACTCTAAGTTCCTCAAAAGCAAATTCACATCCCAGATGGTAGGCTGTGTCAGCCTGGAGGAAATTCAGAAGGAAGCCAGCAGTCATCACTGGAAAAGAGTACTGAGATCCAAGCAGCTCTACAGCCCATTTCCTGCCCTCCCTCTCTCTATATGTGGAGAGCCAGAATCGTCTCTCACTTTAAGATGTGCAAGAAATTAAGAATATAAAAAAAATCCAGTAATAGTTGTTGAGAGTCACATCTGTAGTAGAGGAGAAGAGGTGGGGCTATATCACCTATTAAGAAGGGGTAGGTCTCTAGGATAAGAAGGTTATAGAATCTAAGGAATGAAAGGAAATGAGGAGAGTTTTATTTGGTTCATGAAGGTATCACAAATTACCATGGATGCAGTAGCTTAAGCAACAAAAATTTATTTCTTACAGTTCTGGAGTCTGCAATGTTCAAGATCAAGGTGCTAGCCAATTTGGTTCTTGGTGAGGATCCACTTTCTGGTTTGCAGATTACCGCCTTTTTGGTAAATTTGCACATGATGGAAAAAGAGCAAGCTCTAGTCTCTTTCTTTTCTTATAAGGACACTAATACCATCATGGGGCTCCACTCTCAGGGCCTCATCTTTTTTTTTTTTTTTTTTTTTTTTTTTGAGACGGAGTCTTGCTCTGTCACCAGGCTGAAGTGTAGTGGCGCGATCTCAGCTCACTGCAACCTCCACCTCCTGGGTTCAAGCAATTCTCCTGCCTCAGCCTCCTGAGTAGCTGGGACTACAGGCATGCACCACCATGCCCAGCTAATTTTTGTACTTTTAGTAGAGACAGGGTTTCACCATGTTGGCCATGATGGTCTTGATTTCTTGATCTCATGATCCACCCGCCTCAGCCTCTTAAAGTGCTGGGATTACAGGTGGACCTCACTTAAACTAATTATCCCCCAAAGGCCCTACCTCCTATTACCATCATATTAGGGGTTAGGGTATCAACATAGGCATTTCGTGGGAACACAAATATTCGGTCTACAATGAGGAGTATTAGAATCAGAGTCAAGGAATCCTCCATGGGTTATACCATGGACACAAATGTAAATATTATGACTTCATGTATACTCCCATCAGCCTCCATTTGATACCTGTGTTGGTTCAGGGGAGAAAAAATGTGATGCTGCTGAGTAAAGTGGTTGCTTCCTATTAAAATCATGGCTAACCATGATTATTCTTTTGTAGATTCCTTAGGGAAAGATTAGAGGTAGATGTCCCAGGCCTGGAAGACTGAGTAAAATTCTTCAATTCTCCCCATCCTCTCCTAGTACTGAATCCAGTAAGTATTAGGTTGGTGCAAAAATTATTGCAGATTTTGTCATTTAAAGTAATGGCAAAACTGCAATGACTTTTGCACCAATTTAATGGTATTGTATCTTTCTTAGAAGAGAAAATGATGTGTCTGCTTTAAACATTACTATAGAGTTCCTTTCTGTGAATGAACAGAGTATGTGAGGCTGCAGTGAGGATATCCAGTATTGTCAACTGGGCTACTCAATTCCTCCAGAAATTTCAGAATGTACACTTTGCTCTGGCAAGTAGGATGGGGACAGTCCTCATCTCCCAGCTTTTCTGCATAATGGGAGGCCCGAGGCAGGTGGATCACCTGAGGTCAGGAGTTTGAGATCAGGCTGGCCAACATGATGAAACCCCCATGTCTACTAAAAAATACAAAAAAAAATGTAGCCAGGCGTGGTGGTGGGCACCTGTAGTCTCAGCTACTTGGGAGGCTGAGACGGAGAATCACTTGAACCCAAGAGGTGGAGGTTACAGTGAGCTGAGATTGCACCACTACACTCCAGCCTGGGTGACAGAGAGAGACTCCCTCTTAAAAAAAAAAAAATTAAACTGTTCATTTTCAATGGAATTATGAAACTAAGAAAGGATAGGAATATATTTTAAGTGTTGTTATTAACAGCAAATTAACCACTTTCAATCTTATCATTCCAATTTACTTCTTTTCTAATATTCCATGAAATTAATAATTGCCTAAAACTTAGCAGTGAAAGTAGCAAAAAATAAAATATACCATAATCACAACATGACCAACAAAAGAGGGCAAAGTAATGTCTGCAGTTCAATGAAGGCTGCATATGGAAACAGGACTTAACTAAAGGGAATAAGCTGTTAGGCTGCAGATCAGAATAACTGTATTTGGCAGGTAAATGGCCAATTTTTCCAGAAAAATCCATGTGGATGGGGTTATAAAAGTAAACAAAAGAAAACAACATATATTTTTACCACTATCAAACTGTACCTGAAAACAAAACTTTTTACCCATGCCTAGATTTTACTAGAACTATCTTTCCACTTGGAGAGATAAATGTGTGTGTGTGTGTGTGTGAGTGTGTGTGTGTGTGTGTGTATTTTTAAATGATTAGTTCCTTAGCATGGTACCATTGAAGAGAATTTGATTTTCCTTCAACTTTATCAGTTAATCAAACATGTTTTACATTTAAATTTATATTCGTAAAGTTTAAGCATAAATATCTATCACTGGGGCCATCAGTTCATAATTCTTCCAAATAGGCTTGCTAATTAAAAGTACATAAATGTATTCATATGCTGTACATCAAGGAAAGCAGAGTAATCTGATTTGACCTCATTCTATACAAATTTTTTGTATTGATAAACAAAGTATGCCAAGAAAAATGAAGTATGACTAATTTCCCTTCAATTAATTCTAAGAAGCAACTTCAATCAAATGCTGAAGGTAGAAAATATGCTTCTTCTTAATGAGGTTTTATTAAAATTACTTGTTTACTTGTGCCAGTCAAATCTGACCTTTACAATACAGTATTTGTTTAGAGCTAGTGGAGATAAATTGAGTACACTGATTCTAAATTGAGGATCTATTAAGTAATAAGTAGGATGTAGTTTTATAATCACCTTTGGGTTATAAACAATATTTACCACAAGATCAAAACACATTGACTTAGAAGAAGTGAATGCAAATTAAAATGGAAGATATTTTAGAAATGCAGTGAGAAGCGAACAGAATTATAATATATGATGCTATTAAGTATTTTCAAACATTACTAACTTCTCTTGATTAAATGGCAATTATGCTCTGGAACATGAATCGAACAACCATTTTAAGGCACTTAATGAAAACACTGAAGTATTTTTTGTTTAATAGGTAGCAATATTGAAAGCACAATTAACATTAACTTTTTTTAAAAGAATAGCTGAAGCAACACCTTTTTTTCCTGCTAGTTTTGAATTTTAATTTGTTATTGTAAGTGAAGGAAAATAAAAACATACCTCCTCTGATGTCTATCATAAGGCCACAGGAGGTGTGTGGGGGGAGAGTATGTTAATAGCATTGCTGCTAATTCCACTGTAATTCTGCTTCATTATCTTATGCAAATAATTCCCAGAAAGAATCAACTTCTTAGGAAGAATTATAAAAAATAAATGTCATTAGCAAAAGGTGGTATATCAGCAAGTTTAATAAGTGCATTACATTAAAAATAGAGTTATAGAAAACTTTTGCAAGTTGATTTTTAAAATGGTAACTTTTTTTAAAGAAAAAAAGCGTTGCAGCAGTAAAGGAATTATGTGATAGTATTCAGGTTTCTGTTTAAGAGGTAACTTTTAAAAATAGGAAGTTCTCACATCAAAATTATAAAAGCATCTATTTATAGCTATTACTTGTAAATAGCTTTACTAGTATTGCAAATTGTAAAGATAAGCAATAATTATTGGCAGATTATTTTTAAGCACTCCAATCTCACTTTTTAAAGCAGATGTTAGTAAATATTCTTATTTACTACGCTTACCTGTTATAATATTACGATTTTAATTATTTTCAGTAACCTAAACTAACCCTATGTCAACTTTAGAATGTAGTCCAAACAATTTAGCATGTCATTCAAGGCTTCTTTGTATCTCTCCAGACTTACCATCTACAGTTTGTAAGTAGTACAGTCATATTAATTAAGGCATAGTTCAAAAACACACAGCTAAAAACGGAAAGCTGTTTCAACCTTCTCTGTCTTTAAACATGTGATTCCCCTCCCATAGTGTCCCTTCTCGCTGTTCCCTTTTGCCCACTGGCCCAGCCTGCCCAATAAGCCATCCTCCAACACCTAGAGCAAATGTCTGTACAATCCCAGGAAGAACTCATTATTTTTTTCCATTGTGTTCCTTGAAGAGAATACACACAACAGGCTCGTAAGTGCACTGTCTGGAAATTGTGTTGTATTCATAATTTTCCCCTTTCACATACTAACAGGTAATTTGCATTTATTAGGTGAACAAATCAACCCGTACATGAGCTGAAGAGGGATTTAAAATAGTCCCTAAGACTATTTTGCACAATTATACTTTATATATTGGGATCACAATTTCTCAGTTCAAGGTTGGCAGATGATTAGCTCATCTTCCTGTGTTCTGAAGCATCAATGCATGTGACTTCCCACCTCTACTTTTGTAGATTTTCTGGAAAAAAAATCCATGAAATACTTAAATATTGGGTTGTATTGTTGGATCAATTAAATTATGAAGAAGAACTTACCTTTGCTAAAAGTAATTATCTTTTGCCTCTAGTTCTTCCCTCAGAACAAAATTTGGGGTAAAAATATGGCTTTCTATTCCACTGACTCCTGTAATACCTAGATATCTTCTTTATATAAATCTAGACTCTTGTCAAACATCTGTGCATCTGTGGTATTTTTTCTTATATGTTGCCTTTCCACTAAACAACTGAATTTATGCCCCACCATCCATGCACTCAAATTATTTTTAAGCTTTATTTGCAGTATAAATATCTGTGTATGTGTCCTTATCTGTCTTATTTGAGTCTGGGCTCTTTCAAGGCTCCAGATAAATTAATAAAAGAGTAGAAAATCTGAGAGAAAATATGATAACAGTTACAGGGACCAGAAGGACATGTATTCCCTTTTCTAGGAAAAATTATTTTAATAAAAACTATATCCCTAGGTTAATTTACAGTAAGCCACAGTGTGCACATTAAATCCACATTAATTCTTTCATTAAACATACATCTAACAAAGATTGTGGTGCCAGGCACCGAGCTTGGTGCTGGAGATAAAGCCTGGCAGGAAGCTCATATAACATAAGAAAATGGAGTTATTTATTGTAATTACGCATGGGAAAAACATCTAGTGAGATTTATTACATTTATTTCATTAGTATAACATAACAACAGCATCTAATTGTAGTTATATATTAAAATTATATTAAGCAATATATTTTATTTAGAAAGTACTTAAAATATAAATATAAATAAATCTATATTTTATCACTATACTCATAATTACCACAATGAAGCTTCATCAGTCCTCAACAATGTTATTGCACATAAAATGAATGGTGTTCTAAATTATCATACTGAGGTCATTCAGTTCACTGTTTGATAGGTAGCAAAGACTTCCTACTTTGAATGGGTTTCTATTTCCTCTTTATTACAGAAATTCACTAGAGTGAGAAAGATGGAAAAAGAGAAATCAGTGGTGCAGTATGCTAAATTCTAGGATGTAGATATGGATTAATTATGACAAAGTGATAGATTAATAAAATAGTTCTGCCTGTAAGGTGGAAGATGATGATCATGACAATTAAATCAGCACTTCCTAAAGCAAGAATAGTGAGAGCTAAAATGTCTAAATCTCTTACTGTTTGCCAGGCTTTATTCTATGGCACTTACATGAATCAATTCACTTAATAGGAACACAGGAACACTTCAAGGTATACTATATTATTATTTCTACTTTACAGATATATAAACTGGGGCACAGCGGGATTCAAGTATTTTGTTTAATTGGTCTCAAAAGTTAAGGCTGATAAAGCCACTGTATATTCAGTTCAACATTATATTGGCTGCCTTAGTCAAAACAAAATAGAGAAAGGGAGTCTGTATTACTAAACTATATTCTAGATTTAAGAATATTTAAGAAATTTCATTGGAAAATTTTAAATGACCAATGCAATACACTGTTCTTTCTGGGCAAGGCCTATGTTTATTCTGATTATTTCACATTAGAGATAATAGTCTGAATGGCATTAATGTGTCTTAAATTGTTTTGAAAAAATGATTAGATCAGCTGTAGCCAATTATAATCCAAAATAACTGTCAAAGCATGAGAGCATGTTTCATTCCATACATTAGCAACACTGGTTTCCCTTGGATTTCAACATTTAAGTTTCAAATGATTAGCATCTGATCTGCTATATTGATTATTCTCCTGAATTACCATTCTTATAGCAAATTTAGATTTTCATATATAATGAGACAGATACTGTAAATTATTGCTGGGTGTCACTGGCCATTAAACAACTAGATAGTTGATATATCACCACAACTTTAAGAGGAAAATTGCGCATCCCATGAATTAAAATCTGAAAATACTTTCCCATCACTGCCACCACATAATGTAGTCTAAAGAGTGAAGTCAATTGGAAATTTGTAATGTTTTATCTGTGCAAAGCGCACAGTGTATACAAGAAAGAAGCATCATGTATTTGCTGAATGTTGTGTGATTCTCCCAGGTGTTTCTATAATACTTCCAAAAAGCAGTTATTTGCAAGAAAATCAACTATAACTTGATTTAATTTGTAAGTTACTTTGAAATCCTTCTAAAGAATTTCCAAGTCATTGAGGCTACAGGAAGGATTAAAGAAAATGAAATTAACTCATAAGGGCTAATCATATTTGTTTTCCAGTTTAAAATGTGTAGATTCATGACTTCAGCTGCTTTTTAATTAAATCCTGTTTTTTTGTTGAAATCTGTGTGAGCCCACACTGTTTGTTACTATTTGTATTTGTACAGTAGATATTTACCACTCTTGTAGGAAACAGCAAAAACTTTCCTGCTCAAGAGAAAAGATGAAAATGGGGCAGCAAAACAGGTGCAAGACACAACCAGATGGAAATTATTACCCGTTAGCTTGCAATCAGCAGCATAGAAGAAAATACTTTAAAAAACATGAAAAGCTATAGTTTTCTCTTCCTGTTACATGAGGCTAATATTTCACTCCTGCACTTAAATACACATGTCAGCAGGTCTCCAGCTATGGGAGGAAAATTCTGATGATCATACAGAAAACAGAATCATTGAAAAGTTCATGCTGAATAGGAAGGCTGAATTTCTGCCTTTCTTCTGTTAGTAAGCTGCTGCAAAATTTTCTGAAAAATAAAAGTAGCTCAAAAATTCAAAACAAGACCACAAAAACGAAGGCTCAAAAATGTTTTGTTAAGGTCACCACTATCATGGCATAAACTCTACCTTTTATAAACACTAAATGCACACGGAATGTGGGCTTCATAGTCATTGTAACTTCACTGCCAGCAGAAAGCTTAGAACAGCACTGTTGATCCCTCCCCCCTCTCACAATGAAGTATGTAGAGAAATAAATTGTGTTAGAAATAAAAAGCAAAAGTGAAAAGGGTAATATAATTTCTTGCATTCTTCTCAAAGCAATTTATGTAAGAATCTCAAAGCAATTCTGGCCCACAAGTGCCTAGTTCCTTCAGGGAACGCTATCCACAGATGCATGGCTTTGTCACCAGCAAATATCACACCTACACTCTGCTGGTTTAAACCATGTCATTAGATGTAAGCCTTTGAAAATTTAACACATCGCTTTTCTTTACTTTGCCCTGCTGTTTTCTCTATGTTTTTTGTAAAGAATTTGGAGGATAATATGTGAATGCTATTTAGGAAATAATAGAGATGCCTTAGTAATGATCCACAAAATGTTATGTTTCATTGAACACCATCAGGTTTTTATGAAAAAGAAAACAGATACGTTGCCTAAATATAGAGAAACTATTAATTCCTAAAATCAAAAGAAGTTTTGAGTTCCAGAAATGTGTTAATTTGATAACTATAGTATCTTGACGTGACTGATTAATATTAAATTAATATTTGCTTAGTAACAAATTATTTAAATGCCTCAACTTATTATAAGTTTTACTCAACTTATTCCCATTAAAGATTTGTCTTTACTATATTCCTACTGGTTTAGATGATTCTACTGAATATTTCAAATGAGAATACATATGAAGTATATACCAAGTACGAATGTTTGACTATTTTAAAAGCAGATTAAGCCTTGTGAAAATATCAAGACATTTTTCTAATTCGATATGAATACAAAGTATATATATATATATATACATATATATATATTCCCTATATAACATGTCTGAAAGAAATTTATTTCTGTACCATAAGGTATTTAGTGGAAATTATTGCATATACTAGTCTTTCATCATTATACAATATTTTATATTCTTCTTTAACATTTTAACATTATGAGCTATTGAGATGTAACCTCCTCTAAATTTAAAAATACCTATATAAGCTATTATATATATAAATATATAAATGTATTATATGTATCTTCAAATATTATATATATGATATTTCCTATATATATTCATTTTTGTATTTTATATAATTTTGGATCATTTATTTTCCAAAATATATGGGGACTCCAGCCTACTGTAGTGTCATAAACTAGGGAAATATAAGGAACATACGTGATCTGGAAAAGAGTAGAAGAAGATGCCTCACAGATTCTGCATCATCTAGACTATGCGCCTCTCAGATTTTCCACTGTGGGGAATTTAACTGACCCATAGCCGCAGCTACTGTGCTCTGAAACGCACCCCAGGAGAACGCTGGAGGCTGTGTTTCCCATGGTTTGCTGGCAGGCAATACTTTAGGCAGGCCTGTACGTGAGGGACAATTTGGCCCCAACAACCTTACCAAATGTATAGTCTGAGACCTTCTTTCCCTCTCTTGTTCAGCAGTCTTAGACCTATTTCACAGGCTGATAACTCCCCCACATTCCTCTCCTTTAAGCTCCCATTATTTCCCCAGTTCCACGCAAGTTAGTGTGCTACTGACAATTGCACGAAACGTTCCATTAAAGAATTTACAGGTCGGCCCGGCGCGGTGGCTCACTCACGCCTGTAATCCCAGCACTTTGGGACGCCGAGGCGGGCGGATCGCGAGGTCAGGAGATCTAGACCATCCTGGCTAACATGGTGAAACCCCATCTCTACTAAAAATACAAAAAAATTAGCCGGGTGTGGTGGTGGGCACCTGTAGTCCCAGCTGCTCGGGAGGCTGAGGCAGGAGAATGGCATGAACCCGGAGGCGGAGCTTGCAGTGAGCTGAGATCGTGCTACTGCACTCCAGCCTGGGAGACAGAGCGAGACTCCGTCTCAAAAAAAAAAAAAAAAAAAAGAATTTACAGGCCAAAAGTGAAAATGAATATGATATCTACTTCAGTCATGTATTTGTGATAACTATTAGGAGAAACAGACATGAACATACAGTAAAAACTATCCAGACAAATATATATGTATAAAATTTTATGTAAGGATACAAATCATAGTTAATATAGCTGTTCCCATGGGGGAAATCAAGTGTGGCTGGATAGAAACCTCCAGAGAATACTCAGTATTACTGAAGTGAGGAGCACATTTTTGAGAAAGGGGAGGTAAGAAGAATCCAGTCACGAAAAAGAAGAAACATTTTTGTTTTGGGGGAGGGAACATCAGGATATTTCTATTTTTGTTGCTTGTCCCATAGGAATGTGTAAGTTGGAGTATTTTAATTACATAAAAGTAGATCAATATCTTCAAGATGTCTGTTTGTGTTCTGAAGAGAAAGAATCGCGCTGCAAACAAGCACAGCATGCCTTTCCATCTGAGGAAGCCAGATTTAAGTAGGAAAACAGGGTCTCTAACTCAGTTACATCTAATACAAGCTGTGCAATCACCTTGAGTACCAGTCTTCTTACTGAGAAATACAATTGCTGTGAGGATTAAAATAAATCATATTCAGAAAACTTCTTAAATCCCTGACCTCTTTTAATGACCAGAAATACCCATACATTTTACTCTTTGTTAAGCTATGTTTGCATCCTCCTCCAACACTAAAAAGAGAGAAATTGAAAGTAGGTTCATTTGTTAACAGAAAAATTGAAATTCTGGTTGTGTTTTCGTCCAAGTACGCTAGAATGTTAAGGCCTGTGAAAGCGGGCATTTGTGTTGCTTTTGTTTACCGATGCATCCCAAAAATCTAGACTATCCTCTGCCATATAGATAGTGCTGAATAAATGTTTTGAATTAAGAAGAAAACAAAGAGCTGTTCTTAAAGCAGAAGAGCTTGGTTGATGACTATATCCTATATAGCAATATCTGGTACATGACTTAAAGAAGTATTAGATTGGTTTGAAATACTAGATAAGGAATTATATTTGTAATGGTCCTGGATAAATGTCCAATGCTCAGTGTTCATATGTATGAGGATTGCAGGAGTTTGCCATGTAAAATCTGGTGTCAGAGACTGAATTGACAGAGAGGAGGATGATTTGTCACCTGTTATCTACATTGAATTTTTAAAGTTGTCAGGGATTCAGTGTGACCAAGTATGGAAATAAAAGCTATACATGAACTAAATAAACAAGGATACTTCCTACAACACATCTGCATACAGTGCAGTTTGTATTTTGCCTGAGAATTTTTTAGACAGGCTTAAGGAGGAAAATCTGGAGTTCAGAAAGTACACTGAAAGTAAATGCAACTAAGAGTGAAGTATTGGCTCAATAATACAACTTCGTGTGTGTGTGTGTGTATATGTGTTTGTGTGTGGATGAGTGTGTGTGTGTTCTCTTGAATGTGTGAAAAAATTTTGAAGTTGACTAGGTGATTTGGTATTTTGTATATTATGCTTTATTTGAGATACAAAGTGTCATCCACTGTAGCATATTCATCTTATATGTAGAATATATGCTTGAGTGGGTTTATGTTTAGTTTTTCTACAATTTCCCTCTTATATTCTTATATTTCATTGGGGAAAAAAAGACTAGCTATCAAACTTTTAAAAGTAACCTTCCATGAAAAAAGCTCCATTCTCATATTCTGTGTCTGTCTTTTTTATTCCATATTTACAGAACATTTCCATTGAAAATGTCTACATGGACCTCTGTTTAAATGAGAAAGATTTTTATATGACTGCATATGACATGCATCAATTTTTTTAAAATTACAAGGCCAAACTTTGATTCTGTTGTTGAGGCAGACTTCACGCTGAGCACTGCATTTGATTCATACCACTGAGACAATCATAGTTGATTCCCTTCATTTCCTCATGATCCAAGGACTCAATACCACAACCTCTTCATAAGACTCTCTCCCTACACTTGCTCAACCACTGTGCCCCAAAGCCATCTACCAATTCAATGCAAACCCATTCAATATCCTAATGGAATTTTTTACAGAAATAGAAAAAGAAATTCTAAAACGTATATGAAACCAGAAAAGATCTCAAATAGCCAAAGCAATCTTGAGAAAGATGAACAAAACTGGAGGTCCCACACTTCCGGATTTCAAAACGAATGACATAGCTACAGTAAATTAAAATCAGATGGTCCTGGCAAAAGACAGGCATACAGATTGATGGAACAGAATAAGGAGCGCGGTCATAAACACAATTTATAAGGTCAACTGATCTTTCACAAGGCTGTGTAAAATACACGCTACGAAAGGATAGACTTTTCAACAAATGATACTGGGAAAAGTGCATATTGTGGTGTGAAAGAATGAAATTAGAATCTTTTCTTACACAATATACAAAAATTAGCTCAAAATGGATTAAACACTTAAGTCTAACACCTGAAACTATAAAGCTACAAGAAGAAAACATAAAGAAAAAGGCTTCATGAAGTTTGTCTTGGAAAAGATTTCTTGGATTATCTGAAACACATAGGCACCAAAAACTAAAGTAGAGAGGTGGGATAACATCAAACTGAAATACTTCATTACTGCAAAGGAAACAATCAACAAAACAAAAGGGCAACCTACAGAATGAGAAAAAGTATTTTTAAATTACATATCTGATAAAAGGTTAATATCCAAAGTACATTTAAAAAGTCTTTTCCAATTTGATAACAAAAACCAAATTTCCAAGTTAAAAATTTTCAAAGGACTCAAATAGACATTTCTCTAAAGAAAGCATACAAATGACCAATAAGTATATTAAAAAGATGATTTAACATCACTAGTCATTGGGAAAATAAAAATCAAAATTACAATGAAGCATCACCTCATACCTGTTAGGATAACTTTATCAAAAACTAAAAAAAACAAGGCTTGCCTAGTAGGCAAATTGAAACTTTTGTGCACTTTTGATGAGAATGTAAAATGGTACATGATGAAAACAATATGGAATTTTCTCTAAAAATTGAAATAGAACTACCATAAAATCTAGTAATTTCACTTCTAGGTATTTATCCAAAAGAATCGAAATCAGGATCTCAAAGATATTTGTAATTCCATGTTCATTGCAGCATTCACAAGAGATATGGTTTGGCTCTGTGTCCCCACCCAAATCTCACATAGAATTGCAATCCCCAATGTGGAGAAGGACCTGACAGGAGTTGATTAAATCATGGGGTGGTTTCCCCCTTGTGGTTCTTGTGATAGTGAGTGAGTTCTCACAAGACCTGATTGTTAGAAAGTATGTAGCACTTCCCCCTTTTCTCTTTCTCTCTCTCCTGCTCCACCATGTGAGGACATGGTGTTTACTTCCCCTTAGCCTTCCACCACTGATTGTAAGTTTTCTGAGGCTTCCCCAGCCATGCTGCCTGTACAACCTACAGAGCTGTGAGTCAATGAAGCCAATTTTCTTTATAAATTATCCAGTCTTGGTAGTTCTTTACAGTAACGTGAGAATGGACTAATACAACAAGATTCAAGGTAAGGAAGTACACTTAGTGCCTGTCAGTGGATGAATGGAAATAGAAAATATGCTATATACAACAATGAAATCTCATTCAGTCTTAAAATTAAAAAAAAGGAAATCCCGTCATATGGGACAACATGGAAGAAACTTGAAGACATTATACTAAGTGAAATGAGCCAGTCACAGAAGGGCAAACACTGCATGATTTTACTTAGGCAAGTTATCTAAAGTAATCAAACACATGGAAACAAAAAGTAGAATGATGATTGCCAGTGGCTGGAGCAAATGGGTAGCTGCTGTTCAGTGAGTATAAAGTTTCAATCATGCAAGATGCAGAAATTCACTTGATCTGTTGTACAGCACTGTGCTTCTAGTTAAAAATACTGTATTATATACCTAGAAAAGCATTTGGAAGTAAATATCATGTCATGTGTTTATTTTTACTACAATATAAAATAGCTTTTAAAGAGAATTTGTGTTATTATTGTTATTACTAAGTTTATACATTACTTTAATTAAAAAGTCACTTGAATCAAGGTTAATAAAGTGGTTTGTGGATACATAGTCTTCTCCTGTGGATAAGGGATAGCCTTGCCTTCTCCTGCTGATCATGGTCCCTGACAACCTCCTTCTAGGTCAGTATTGGCTCACGCTAGTCTCCCCAGTGGGCCTCCCTAGGACATTTCAGTATCATCACATTTACTACAGAAAAGTCTTTTTTGAGTAAAGTCACTTCTCAGTCTGTATCGCTAAACAGCCTATTAATGTTTGTGAACCTCAGTTTGTTTCATCTGTAATGATAACAGCTCTCCTATTCACCTCACGAAGATACTATGAAAATAGAAAATAAAAGATCACATGAAGAAAAGTTCTTTGAAAACAATACACAAAGATATGGTGCTATTATTTTTAAGAAAATGGCTAAAATGTCTCTGAGTTTCAAAGGAATTATTCTATCAGAAAAGAAATATACATGGTGGAAATTTAAAATAGAGTTTTTGTGATACGTAAATTACTGTGGTATTAAGCCACTCAAATGAGGGCTACCATGGAGCTTATCTTTACAGTGCTGCAGTGTTCTGACATGTTTCCTTGGCATAAATCAATGTATAGGCTACCATATATTGATGAATCAGCTCTTTTGCAACTACTGAAAAAACAATTCATTGTCCACACATTTCTCTATCTCTGACACAAATCAAAATGTGTTACCTTCCAGGAACAGTTGAGTTTGTCAGCTTATCATCTTACTAACTTCCAAGAACAAAATATGAGTTTGTAAGTTGTGATTCATCAGAAACAGTATTTCTAAGTTTTGTTAGTGATTGCTCTTACATTCGTGTATTGACTTAAAGAAAATTTAAGAAACATATAAGATCTTAGAAAATAAATGTTGAAGACATTTTAAGGATTGATAGGACACAGCAGTTTTTTTCCCCTAGACTCTCAGTGCAATCATAATACACTCTTTTCAGGATGTTTGCCAAGCTATGACTTATGAACTCTTTGTTTAGAATTGATCTTCTATAAAGGAAGAGGTCAGCAGTTAGGTTTGAAAACAATCACCTGGCCATAGTTGACTGGGCTAAGAGTATACTCTTGAGAAATGAGAACACAATAAGGTACTCAATCCTAAACATCTGGATTTTGGATTCAGAAACAGTTCCTATAAGTAGCTTAAAGCATATGTGATATAAAAATGAAGTACCTGTTGATCAGCCTTGCTCCATTATGTAGAAAAGGTTGATTGAGACAGAGAGAATGAGAGAAAGATAGAACTAGCTATAGTTTCAAGAAAAATAAGAAAAAAAATATAGACCCAATATAAATGAAAAAATATCCCCCAAAATATATCTATATCTTTATCAATTTTTTCAGTTATTTCCAGTTTGTTTCTGATATCTGGCTAATTTCTGCCCCTAGGTTACATGCTATTAGAAAACATACATTAATTTTACACAATTTGCTTTTTATCTAAACTTACGTTCTATTACAAGCAATTGACAAAAATTTCCTATTAATATGCTGCATGAATCCAATTCTTGTTAAGCAATAAAGAAACAATATACTATGCACCAGAGATGCTGGGTGAGATTTATAATGATTTGGTCCCTTAAGTTCCTTTATCCAAAGAAATGTGAGTTGATTTGACATGTACCTCTTATGATCAGAAGCTTAAAGAGACATCAGGCGATTGGAAACTTACTATTTCTTTGTTGTTATCTATAAAACCAAGATAAACCAAGTAGGCGGAGCTCCTTCAACTTTGGTCCCAGATAAGGAGAGCCAGAGATTACTCATGAAGAACATAAAATAAGAGTTAAAGCAAACAAGCAATCACCAAACAAATAAAACTTCTACTGATGCAAGCCACTGATATTACGAAGTTATTTTTATTTCAACATAAGATATGCAAAGCATACTGATAGAGAAGTAAAATACTGATAATAGGTTACAGAATGGGATAATGTTTGAAGAATTATATAGGTCTCTAAAATTGGGCACTACATAACAAATATGATTGTTTTGGATGAATCGGTGAAAGTACAGGGAAAAATGATTTGTTAGATGGGTATTTAGAAAAGACATGAATATAGACAGCTAGTCTTGGTGGAAAGTACCTATACAGATAATAGATTTAGTGGCAATATTATTATTATTATTGTTATTATTATTATTATTATTGAATGTGTTTGGAAAATGCAAGTAATATATTTTAGGGGAAATCAGAGGCTTCTCTATACAAATACTCAGATGTAAAACATGAAAGGTAGTATACTACAGTTCTTCCCCTAGAAAACCAGAACCAAAAGGTGCATGTATATACAGAGAGTGAGAGACAGACATTTGTTTTAAGGAACTTGCTTATGTGATTGTGGAAGGTGGCAAGTTCAAAATCCTCTGGGCAGTCTGACAGGCTGCAGATTTAAGGAAGAGTTGATGTTGTTTCTCCAATCCAAAGGCAGAGAGGTAGAGTTCTCTCTTCCTTAGTTTTTTTTTTTTTTTTCACTTACGACTTTCAACAGACTTTCATCTCACCCACATTACCTAAAATAATCTGCTTTATTCAGTCTAGTGATATAAATGTTAATTTCATCTAAAAATTACCATCATGGCAGCAATCTAGACCAAATATCTGGCTACCATGGCCTAGTCAAGTTGACCCATAAAATTAGCCATCACAAGACGACTGTAGGAGGGACTTCTACTTATTTTAATAATTGAGAGACATTGAACAGTTTTGAGTCGGCAGGCCTATGATAAGAGATTCGTGAATAATCTAATGTTAACCTCAAGAAATCTGTAGCGAACAGACTCAGTTATTTTTTACCTCAATTTCTTCCTTTTAAAAATCTCATATCAATATAAGTAATATTTTATTCCTTTTCAGAGCAGACTCATACAGAATCCCAATCACTTCTATTTCCTATAGGCCTTCTCTATATCATTTTCTTTTTATCACAATTGCATATTTAATTACTCAAATCCCTTTACTTCTTGAGATAACTCGAGGACTCTTTATTCCTATTTTCTTGTATCTAATTTATTGTCAAACAAAGAATAATTTATTGTGTCCTTCCACTGTTTTACTGAAACTACTGTGGCAAAAATAACTAATTACTTCAAAACAAAAATCACTTCATATCATTTAAAAAATTTTTTACCTTATATAAATTATTTGCAGAATTTGATCCCATTGCCTAATCCCTTCTTCATAAAAAGTCTCTACTTTCTTTTTAAAAATGTATTCTTCCTTCTTCTCTTGCTTAGTTTTGGGCTGCTTTTTTGAGAGTTTGTAAAAAACAAAACAAAACAAAAAAACAGTAAATATTGCTCTGAATATTTTTTAAAGCAAAATATACTCAATGTAAAAATATTGGATATGCACAATGACAAAAATCTGTAAGACAAAATAATTATCTGTAGCTTCACCTTTCATTGCTAATATTTGGATTTTATCTTCCAGTCTCTATGCAACCCACATATATATTTTTAAAATACTATTATACTATCAATATTGGTAATATAATAATTAAATGTTTTGTTTTTACTTATATTAGAGTACGTATTTATTCAATAAAATAAACAGAAGCAGTCCACTAAAAGCAAAACAAATTGCAGGTAATAGCAATTTGAAGTTCCTAAAATGAACAATCCAGTCTATTGTGTATGTACATTTGTGTGTCTGTATGAATCCTCTAGAAAAAGTATACACATATGTATATCCTATTAGGAAATAGAACTAGTTATCAAGTGCTTTAGACTTTGCAGTTTCATTTAAAATATAATGAACTTTATGCTATATTGATTTATGTATTTTTACAACAATTAATGGTTGTATAACTACACCACTTTAAGGACATATTTTGTCAAAAATCTATTGTTTTTCAAAACTTGGGTCTATTACTTTACACTTTATTCTGTTCTAATGATCTGCTTCACATATAGCTTTACAATAAAGTGTTTTTTTTTGTTGTTGTTGTTGTTGTTTTTGAAATGAAGTTTCACTCTTGTTGTCTAGGCTGGAGTGCAGTGGTGTGATCTTGGCTCACTGCGACCTCTACCTCCCGGGTTCAAGCATTTCTGCTGCCTCAGCTTCCCAAGTAGCTGAGATTACAGGCAGGCACCACCAAGCCCAGCAAAGTTTTTGTATTTTTAGTAGAGACGGGGTTTAACCATGTTGACCAGGCTGGTGCCCAACTCCCAACCTCAGGTGCTCCGCCCAGCTGGGCCTCCCAAAATGCTTGGATTACAGGCGTGAGCCACCACACCTGGCCAACAATAAAGTCTTGATGTCAGGTAACAGAATTTATCTAAACTGCTGCTTCTTTTTCAAAGTTATTATAGCTATCTTATGGCTTTTACACTTCCATAATTTTTCCACTTCTTAAATAAACTTATTTTGAAATAGATTTAAATTGATATAAAATTTTGAATATACTGCATACAGTTCCTATATTTATCAGTTTTCTCTATTATTCATATATTTTATTAATAGGGTACATTTTTCATAATTAATGAACCAATACAAATGCACTACTATTAACTACAGTCTATAATTCTATTCAAATTTTGTTGTTGTTTTTGTTTTTGTTGCCTAATGCCCATTTCCTGGTCCTGGATTCTATCCCCCACCTTTACTATTTTTGTGACTTTTCTGGTTTTAATTGAGCATTTTATATGATTCCATTCTGTCTCCTCTCCTGGCGTATAAATTATTTCTCATTTTTATTAGTTACTCTGGAATTTATAATACATCTTTAGTTAATTAATTTAAGTCAACTTTCAAATAGCACTAAGTAGCCTCAAGTGTAGGTCATTCCAGAATATTCCAAATTCCTCACGTTCATCTCTTGTGATATTACTGTTGGCCATTTCACTTCTTGATATGCAAAAGTCATCAGGTTATTATCATTGCTTTAAGCAAATTATTAAGTTTTATATAAATTAGGAGTAAAAACGTTATTTTCCTTTCATTTATTCCTTCTCTACTTATCTTTCTCTTTATGCAGAACTTTTTTTTATTACTAGGCAGTCTGACAGTCTGCAGATTTAAGAGAGTTGATGTTACATTACTAATCCAAAGGCAGTCTGGAAGAAGAGTTCTCTCTTCTTCGAGGCAAAGTTTTCTCTTCTTATATTATTTTCCTTCTGTCTGGAGAACTTCTTTTAACATTTCCTGCAGAAAATGTTGGGCAGGCTTTCTGGCATTGAATTACTCATTTGTATTACTTATCATTCATTTTTGAATGATGATTCCATTTGTATTAGTCTGTTCTCACACTGCTAATAAAGACTAAGACTGGGTAATTTGTAAAGAAAAATAGGTTAAATGGATGCACAGTTCCACATGGTTGGGGAGGCCCCACAATTATGGCAGGAGGCAAAGGAAGAGCAAAGTGACATTCTACATGGCAAAAGACAAGAGAGTGTGTGCGGATGAACTGCCCTTTATGAAACCATCAGCTTTCATGAGACTTATTCACTATCACGAGAACACCATGGGAAAAAACCTCCTCCATGATTCAATTGCCTCCCACTGGATCCCTCCCATGACAGGTGGAGATTATGGGAGCTACAATTCAAGATGAGATTTGTCTGGGGACACAGTCAAACCATATCACCATTAAATACAGAATTATAAGTTATTTGTTTTTGTTTTCTTTACTCTTATAACACTGTAAATATTTCACTCCTTTCTTGATGATTACGCGGTGTCTGATGTTAGGTTTGCTGCAATTCTTACCCGTATCATTCTTTATATTCTATATATTTTTCTTTATATTATAATATAAAGTGCCCCCTAACCTTCAAGATTTATTTTTTATATTTTATGTACAATGGTTTTGATGTGATAAAATGATTTGTGTTGTTTTTTGATATTCAGCCTGCTTAGTGTTCTCTGAGCTGCTTCTATCAATGACTTGGTGTCTGCCATTAATTTTAGAAAGTTCTTTGACATTATCATTCGAAAAATTTATTCTGTTCTGCTCTCTCTTACTTCTCCATCTGCTCATCACATTATATATGTCTTACAACTTTTGATAATGCCCCACATTTCTTGGATTTTCTTTAATTTTCTTTTTTGAGACAGTCTTGCTGGAGTGCAATGGCACACTCTCAGCTTGCTTCACTTGAACCTCTGCCTGCTGGGTTCAAGTGATTCTCCTGCCTCAGCCATCTAAGTAGCTGGGATCACAGGACTGTGTCACCACACTAGGCTAATTTCTGCATTTTTTAGTAGACATGGAGTTTTGCCATGTTGGCCGCACTGGTCTCAAATTCTTGGCCTCAAGTGATCCACCCCTCCCCAACCAGCCTCCTAAAGTGCTGATATTACAGATGTGAGTCACCATGCCCAGCCTACATCTTGTATATCGTTTTTATTTGACCTTCATATTTTTCTTTTATTCTTTTTGCTATTTACATTTCAGTTTGGGATGTTTCTACTTACATACAATCAACAACCCTGATTATTTTCTAAGCTGTGTCTAGTCTACTTATTAAGCAGTTCTCATTTCTGTCACATGATTTTTAATTTCTAGCATTTTATTTTGATTCACTTTCAGAATTTTAGTTTTTCTGCTTTTAGTACCTATCGGTTGTAACATCTTTTATATTTTTCTATTAGAGTCTGTAACACATTAAGACCAGAGTCTCCACCTGGTCCCTTCCGTGACATGTGATGACATGTGGGGATTATGGGAACTATAATTCAAGATAAGATTTGGGTGGGGACACAGCCAAACCATATCAATAGTTATAGGTACACAAAGTTTAAAATACCTCTATTATCTTTGTGTTTTGTTTTGTTTTGGTTCTTTGTTTATTTCCTCCTTCCTCCTTTTGACTTTGGTCTTTCCTAAGTACTCCTCAGAAAGTCTGTGTCTTTCAGGTCTTTTAACATTAGTCCATAGTTATATTAGAGTCAGATTGGTTTGGTGGCAGGTCAGAGAGAGGGACTGTTCTATTATCTTGCATTTAAAACTCATTCTCTTAGTGCGTCTCATCTTGGTGCTGTGTCCTTCATAATTGCTTCTCCAGTGGCATAACTTTTTCCTTTCACAGGCTGTAACATATGCTATTTCCTTGACCTCTGATGACTGTATATTTATTTTTCCCCATGAGAGAGAAGAAAGGTGAGACAGGCCTGGAGAGAGAAACAGATCCCTTATCCAGGCAATGAGAAAGTGCTGGTAAAATAGCTGACCCTAGAGACTATGCCTTGCTTATGATGAATGCTGTGACTGCATTTCACAGTGATTATTCTTCCTCTCCACCCTGAAGTAGAGTTTTGTTCTCCCATCTTTACCATGAAAACCTGTTGAAATTCTTTGGGAATACCTCAATTTCAGAGGCTGTTATTTGTCTATTCAGGGATTCGACTTCTTCCTGGTTTAGTCTTGGGAGGGTGTATGTGTCCAGAAATTTATCCATTTCTTCTAGATTTTCTAGTTGATTTGCATAGAGGTGATTATAGTGTTCTCTGATGGTAGTTTGTATTTCTGTGGGATCGGTGGTTATATACCTTTTATCATTTTTTAATGCGTCTATTTGATTCTTCTCCTTTTTCTTCTTTATTAGTCTTACTAGTGCTCTATCAATTTTGTTGATCTTTTCCAAAAAACCAGCTCCTAGATTCATTGATTTTTTGAAGAGTTTTTTGTGTCTCTAATTCCTTCAGTTCAGCTCTGATCATAGTTATTTATTGGCTTCTGCTAGCTTTTGAATGTGTTTGCTCTTGCTTCTTTAGTTCTTTTAATTGTGATGTTAGGGTGTCAATTTTAGATCTTTCCTGCTTTCTCTTGTGGGCATTTAGTGCTATAAATTTCCCTCTACACACTGCTTTAAATGTGTCCCAGAGATTCTGGTATGTTGTGTCTTTGTTCTCATTGGTTTGAAATAACATCTTTATTTCTGCCTTCATTTCATTATGTACGTAGTAATCATTCAGGAGCAAGTTGTTCAGTTTCCATGTAGTTGTGCAGTTTTGAGTGAGTTTCTTAATCCTGAGTTCTAATTTGATTGCACTGTGGTCTGAGAGACAGTTTGTTATAGTTTCTCTTCTTTTACATTTGCTGAGGAGTGCTTTACTTCCAACTATGTAGTCAATTTTGGAATAAGTGCAATGTGGTGCTGAGAAGAATGTATATTCTGTTGATTTGGGGTGGAGAGTTCTGTAGATGTCTATTAGGTCTGCTTATTGCAGAGCTGAGTTCAATTCCTGGATGTCCTTGTTAACTTTCTGTCTCATTGATCTGTCTAATGTTGACAGTGGGGTATTGAAGTCTCCCATTATTATTGTGTGGGAGTCTAAGTCTCTTTGTAGGTCTCTAAGGACTTGCTTTATGAATCTGGGTGCTCCTGTATTGGGTGCATAAATATTTAGGATAGTTAGCTCTTCTTGTTGAATTGATCCCTTTACCATTATGTAATGGCCTTGTCTCTTTTGATCTTTGTTGGTTTAAAGTCTGTTTTATCAGAGACTAGGAATGCAAACCTTGCTTATTTTTGTTTCGCATTTGCTTGGTAGATCTTCTTCTAACCCTTTATTTTGAGTCTATGTGTGTCTCTGCATGTGAGATGGGTCTCCTGAATACAACACACTGATTGGACTTGACTCTTTATCCAATTTGCCAGTATGTATCTTTTAATTGGAGCATTTAGCCCATTTACATTTAAGGTTAATACTGTTATGTGTGAATTTGATCCTTTCATTATGATGTTAGCTGGTTATTTTGCTCATTAGTCAGTGCAGTTTCTTTCTAGCATTGATGATTTTTACAATTTGGCATGTTTTTGCAGTGGCTGGTACTGGTTGTTCCTTTCCATGTTTAGTGCTTCCTTCAGGAGCTGTTGTAAGGCAGGCCTGGTGGTGACAAAATCTCTCAGTATTTGCTTGTCTGTAAAGGATTTTATTTCTCCTTCACTTATGAAGCTTAGTTTGGTTGGATACGAAATTCAGGGTTAAAAATTCTTTTCTTTAAGAATGTTGAATATTGGCCCCCACTCTCTTGTGGCTTGTAGAGTTTCTGCCAAGAGATCTGCTGTTAGTCTGATGGACTTCCCTTTGTGGGTAACCCAACGTTTCTCTCTGGTTGACCTCTTTCCTTCATTTCAACTTTGGTGAATCTGACAATTATGTGTCTTGGAGTTGCTCTTCTCAAGGAGTATCTTTGTGGCTTTCTCTGTATTTCCTGAATTTGAATGTTGGCCTGCCTTGCTAGGTTGGGGAAGTTCTCCCGGGTAATATCCTGAAGAGTGTTTTCCAACTTGGTTCCATTCTCCCTGTCACTTTCAGGTACACCAGTCCGATGTAGACTTGCTCTTTTCACATAGTCCTATATTTCTTGGAGGCTTTGTTCATTTCTTTTTACTCTTTTTTCTCTAAACTTCTCTTCTCACTTCATTTCATTCATTTGATGTTCAATCACTGATACCCTTTCTTCCCCTTGATTGAATCGGCTACTGAAGCTTGTGCATGCATCATTTAGTTCTCATGCCATGGTTTTCAGCTCCATCAGGTCATTTAAGGTCTTCTCTATGCTGTTTATTCTAGTTAGCCATTCATCTAATCTTTTTTCATGGTTTTTAGCTGCTTTGTAATGGGTTCGAAAATCCTCCTTTAGCTCAGAGGAGTTTGTTATTACTGATCTTCTGAGGCCTACTTCTGTGAACTCGTCAAAGTCATTCTCCGTCCACCTTTGTTCCATTGCTGGCAAGGAGCTGCATTCCTCTGGAGGAGAAGAGGCACTCTGATTTTTGGAATTTTCAGCTTTTCTCCTCTGTTTTTCTCCCCATCTTTGTGGTTTTATCTACCTTTGGTCTTTGATGATAGTGACCTACAGATGGGGTTTTGGTGTGGATGTCCTTTATATTTGTTAGTTTTCCTTCTAACAGTCAGGACCCTCAGCCTACCAACCAAAAAAAAGTCCAGGATCATATGGATTCACAGCCGAATTCCATCAGAGGTACAAAGAGGAGCTGGTACCATTCCTTCTGAAACAACTCCAATCAATAGAAAAAGAGGGAATCCTCCCTAACTCATTTTATGAGGCCAGCATCATCCTGATACCAAAGCCTTGCAGAGACACAACAAAAAAAGAGAATTTTAGACCAATATCCCTGATGAACATTGATGCAAAAATCCTCAATAAAATACTGGCAAACCGAATCCGGCAGCACATCAAAAAGCTTATCCACCATGATCTAGTTGGCTTCATCCCTGGGATGCAAGGCTAGTTCAACATATGCAAATCAATAAATGTAATCCAGCATATAAACAGAACCAAAGAAAAAAACCACGTGATTGTCTCAATAGATGAAGAAAAGGCCTTTGACAAAATTCAACAGCCCTTCATGCTAAAAACTCTCAATAAACTAGGTATTGATGGGATGTATCTCAAAATAATAAGAGCTGTTTATGACATACCCACAGCCAATATCATACTGAATGGGCAAAAACTGGAAGCATTCCCTTTGAAAACTGGCTCAAGACAAGGATGCCCTCTCTCACTACTCCTGTTAAACATAGTGTTGGAAGTTCTGGCCAGGACAATCAGGCAGGAGAAAGAAATAAATGGAATTCAATTAGGAAAAGAGGAAGTCAAATCTTCCCTGTTTGCAGAAGACATGATTATATTTAGAAAACTCCATCATCTCAAGCCCAAAATCTCCTTAAGCTGATAAGCAACTTCAGCAAAGTCTCAGGATACAAAATCAATGTGCAAAAATCATAAACATTCCTATACACCAATAGCAGACAAATAGAGAGCCAAATCATGAGTGAACTCCCATTCACAATTGCTTCAAAGAGAATCAAATACTGAGGAATCCAACTTACGAGGGATGTGAAGGACCTCTTCAAGGAGACCTACAAACCACTGCTCAATGAAATAAAAGAGGACACAAGCAAATGGAAGAACATTCCATGCTCATGGACAGGAAGAATCAATATCGTGAAAATGGCCATACTGCCTAAGGTAATTTATAGATTCAATGCCATCCTCATCAAGCTACCAATGACTCTCTTCACAGAATTGGAAAAAAACCACTTTAAAGTACATATAGAACCAAAAAAGAACCTGCATTGCCAAGACAATCCTAAGCCAAAAGAACAAAGCTGGAGGCATCATGCTACCTGACTTCAAACTATACTACAAGGCTACAGTAACCAAAACAGCATGACACTGGTACCAAAACAGAGATATAGACCAATGGAACAGAACAGAGCCCTCAGAAATAATACCACACATCTACAACCATCTGATCTTTGACAAACCTGACAAAAACAAGAAATGGGGAAAGGATTCCCTATGTAATAAATGGTGCTGGGAAAACTGGCTAGCCATATGTAGAAAGTTGAAACTGGATCCGTTCCTTACACCTTATATAAAAATTAATTCAAAATGGATTAAAGACTTAAATGTTAGACCTAAAACCATAAAAACTCTAGAAGAAAACCCAGGAAATTCCATTCAGGACATAGGCATGGGCAAGGACTTCAGGACTAAAACACCAAAAGCAATGGCAACAAAAGCCAAAATTGACAAATGGGATCTAAGTAAACTAAAGAGCTTCTGCACAGCAAAAGAAAACTGCCATCAGAGTGAACAGGTAACCTACAGAATGGGAGAAAATCTTTGCAATCTACCCATCTGACAAAGGGCTGATATCCAGAATCTACAAAGAACTCAAACAAATTTACAAGAAAAAATCAAACAACCCCATCAAAAAGTGAGGGAAGGATATGAACAGACACTTCTCAGAAGAAGACATTCATGCAGCCCACAGACACATGAAAAAATGCTCATCATCACTGGCCATCAGAGAAATGCAAATCAAAACCACAATGAGATACCATCTCACACCAGTTAGAATGGCGATCATTAAAAAGTCAGGAAACAACAGGTGCTGGAGAGGATGTGGAGAAATCAGAACACTTTTACACTGTTGGTGGGACTGTAAACTAGTTCAACCACTGTGAAAGACAGTGTAGTGTTTCCTTAAGGATCTAGAACTAGAAATACCGTTTGACCCACCCATCCCATTACTGGGTATATACCCAAAGGAGTATAAATCATGCTGCTATAAAGACACATGCCCACATATGTTTATTGTGGTACTACTCACAAGAGCAAAGACTTGGAACCAACCCAAATGTCCATTAATGATAGACTGGATTAAGAAAATGTGGCACATATACACTATGGATTACTATGCAGCCATAAAAAGGGATGAGTTCATGTCCTTTGTAGGCACATGGATGAAGCTGGAAACCATCATTCTGAGCAAACTGTCACAAGGATAGAAAACCAAACACTACATGTTCTCACTCATAGGTGGGAATTGAACAATGAGAACACTTGGACACATGGTGGGGAACATCACACACTGGGACCTGTCATGGGGTTGGGGAGGGGGAAGGGATAACATTAGGAGAAATACCTAATGTAAATGACGAGTTAATGGGTGCAGCACACCAACACAACACATGTACACATATGTAAGAAACCTGCACATTGTGCACATGTACCCTAGAACTTAAAGTATAATAAAAATAAAATAAAATATAAAAAAAGAAATTCTTTAGGAATAATGTCATGAAAGGGTGGCATCCTCTAACTCTCCAGTCCTGAGGTGTTTTTCACTGTTATGCTTGTCCAGATGCAACTTCCAACAATTCAAAATGTTACTTTGAGTACTCCAATCAGTTTCTCCAGATGTGTCAGACTCTCCAGATTTGGGAATAATGTTGTTCTGTGACGACAGTTCTCTGATGGGTTTAACAAGTTATTAATTTTCATTTTTTTCACTTTTTTATTGTAAGGATGGAACTGATGCGTTTTGGCCTCTTTCCATCTCAGAGCTAAATCTGGAAGTGCTTTTTGGAATTCATTACATTAATTTTGGTACCTTTAACCCTCATTTTACTTATCTCCCTGTTTTGTGACATACATTTCCATCAAACTTCCAGACAACTGGAGGTATTTTCCAATTCAAGCTCTGCTTTCTTTCTAGCATTGGCAACTACCTGCTGCTCACAAAATTTGCACATACTTGGATGCCACAATGCATTTGCACTTGACTTATCTACTCCTTGGAATCTGCTTCTCCAACAGCCAGATTCCCACTCATCTTCCATTTCCAGCCATGTAATTTACTCTGCATCCCCAGGAAGAAATTCTGATTTGCCTGAATCACAGTGTAAGTAGGCATGTTTCTATTTTGGTACTTGTAAGTAGTATTATACCTACATTTAGTCACCTACCACCCATCTACAAGTTGTTTCTTGAAAACACGAAAGTAGATCTATGCATCTAAAAGATATCTTGATAAATCAGCCAATTACATTTAGTTAAATTGACTTGATGATGCTGCGAGGAGAGACAGGAGGAGACAAATCACAAGAAGGGAGAGTAGGAAGGATAATAGTAAAGCATCCTAACTAGGAGGCACCTGTACTAACATTTTATTCATAGATGTAGAAATGAGGTTTAGATATGAACTGCTGTATGAAAAAGAATTTATGACTCGTGATGGCATAAAAGTTATGAACTAAGACAGGTGAAAGAATCTGCATGACTCTAAGGTCAAGCTAGATGGCATCAACAGTAAAAGTGAGGTCAGGAGAAGGAACTGTTATGTGGAATTTTGTTTTGTAATGGACAATATATTTGAGGTCATCATGTGACAGAGATCCAGCTAGCCTTTTGAATTATTGGAACCAAACAATCAAAATATAGATTGAGGTTTAGAACACAATTGCAGCAAAGGGTTTATTGGGTGCAAATTACATGGGGACATGACTTGGCAGGGAAAGAGTTATTATAGTAAAAATAAAAGTCAGATAACATCTGAAATGTAGGCAGTGAATTGAAGGAGGAGGAATTTAGAGAAAAGAAAGTGTAATGCCATCTAATTAACTGAAGGGGAGTTTTATAAGAAATATTCATAGTGCTTATTCTAATATTACTATTAATACTAATATTAAAGTATTAATATTAAGAGTAAAAATAGAGCAAAATGTGAAAATAAATTTTGAAAATGCTATTATATAGGAAGTTGAAATTTTTTGAGGAATTTTTCTGAAAGAATCAGACTGTAATATACAAGTAGAAAAGCTGCAAATTAGATAAATATAAATAAGGACAGAAAAATTAACTTTGAAGATGTCTTTCTGTTCAGGTAGAGGAAGAGGAAGCAAATGATTTGTGGTCTCATCAAAAGCTGAAAGAATAGTTCAGTTAGTTACAGAGAACTGTTTGCATTGTAATATTTAATGTTACAAAAATAAATTAATTATAAAAATATATCTTATTTCAAATTTAGTTAGCTAATTCCATCTCATGGATATAAACAAATTGTAATCCAAAAAGCTAATCCAGCCCAGTTGTGGTGGTTCATACCTATAATCCCAGAACTTTGGGAGGCTGAGGTGGGCGGATCACTTTAGGCTAGGAATTCTAGACCCACCTGGCCAACATGACGAAACTCCGTCTCTACTGAAAATACAAAAATTGGCCCGGCGTGGTGGCAAGCACCCGTAGTCTCAACTATTTGGGTGGCAGAGGCACGAGAATCACTTTAACCCAGGAGGCAGAGGTTGCAGTGAGCTGAGATGACACTACTGCATTCCAGCCTGGACAACAGAGAGAGACTCTGCCTCAGAAAAAAAAAAAAAGAAAGAAAGAAAAGTTAATTCAGTTAAAATAAGGTAATTAGGGTGAACTCTAATCTAATATCATTAGTGTCCTTATAAAAACAATGCCATGTGAAGAAAAAGGCAGTGACGGGGTGACAGTCTATAAGCCAAGGAACACCAAAGATTTCTGACAAACCACCAGAAGTTTTGGGTAAATGTGGAACAGACTCTTTTCCCCGGCTCTCATGAGAAACCAACCATGCCAATATCTTGATCATGGACTTCTAGCCTCCAGAACTGTGAAGCTATCAGTGTCTGATGTTTAAACCATGTGTTTGTAGGAGTTTGTTAACACAACTCTAGCAAACCAATACAGATTTTTGAAACTGAGAAGCAGAGTGCAGCTGTAACAAATACTGAAAAATATAGAGGTAGTTTGGGATTGGATAATGAGTAGAAGCTGTAAGAATTTTGAGATGCATGATTTGAAAAAGCCTACATTGCATTGAAGAGACTGTTAGTAAAACTATGGACATTAGAGGCAATTCTAGTGATGGCTCAGAAAGAAAAGAGGAAAGGTACAAAGTTCCCATCATTTTAAAGAATGTCTAGTCATGAAAATAATGTTGCTAGAAATATAAATGTTAAAGGGGATTCCGATGAAGTCTCCAATGGAAATAAGGAATATATTAATGGAAACTGAAGGAAAGGTGAACCTTGCTCAAATAACATATGAATTGATTGAGATGGAAAATAGAACTGGTAAGTGGAAAAGTGGCATATTTAGATGAGAACATTATTTATTTATTTATTTATTTACTTATTTATTAGATATGGAGTCTTGCTTTGTTGCCCAGGCTGGAGTGCAGTGACACAATCATAGCTCACTGCAGCCTCAAACTCCTGGGCTCAAGTGATCCTCCCACCTCAGCATCCCATGTAGCTGGGACTATACGCATGCACCGCTATGCCCAGATAATTTTTTCCCCCTCTTTAATGATGGGGGTGTTGCTATGTTGCCAAGACTGGTCTGGAATGCCTATTCTCAAGAGATATTTCTGTCTTGGCCTCTGAAAATGCTTGGATTACAGGTGTGAACCACTGCATCTGGCCTAGATGAGATTTCTAAGCAAAGTGTTGAAGGCATGGTGTGGTTTCTACTTGCTGCTTGTAGTGAAATGTGAGAGGTGAGAAGTCCATTGAAAGATCAATTGCTAAGCAAGAAGAAATTAGCACAATAATTTGTAAGATTTTGGCTTATTCAGATCGCATACCGTGGAAACAGGGCCAAGGATGCAGCTGGACAACTGCTTGCTAAAGTGATTTAGGTGTATAATGCAAGGATCCAATCAACCATGTCAGTAGAAGCCAGGAATACAGACATAGTGATTCATGAAAGGTGTGTGGAGGCCTCTCTTGTGTGATGTCTTGAACCTCTGTGAATTGCATGGGAAGTAGACAAGATTTCTGAAAATTCTGAAACAGCAGAAACGCTGCCTGCCTGGACTGATAAAGACATAGAAGGGGTGAAATAAAGGAATAATGGGAACAGAATCAGTGAAGGAAAAATGACTTTGAGATCAGAGCCATAGATCCACAGAGCAGGGCCACCTCTTTGAGGTTCCAGAGGGCAGACTTCCACGGACAGCCTGGGAAACTGGGCTACCTCTCTAGGAGGCATCTCGGGGGTAGGGAGTATAGTCCAGATCCGGGAGTACTGAGCTGCCTCTCTGCCATAGGATTAGCAAGCCAAGGATAATTATTAAAAGACTTAAAATCTAATGGGTTTTATCCTGCCTAGTTTTACAATTGTTTGGGATAGGCAACTCTTACTTTTTCCTTCCAACTTCTCTCTTTTGGTATAGAAATGTCTATTCTACTCCTATAGCAGCAGTATATTTTGAAGGAAGATAACTTGTCTGGCTCATAGTTTTACAGATGGAGAACAATTTGCTTCAGGATAAGTCAGAGCCTGAGTTTCACTCATGTCTGATTTAAATAATATTTAGATGGGATTTTATATTTAGACTTGATGTTGGAATGAGTTAAGATTTTTGGGAGTGTTGGCATGGTGTGAATGTGTCTTGCATGTGAGAAGGGCATAAATTGGGGGGAGTCAAAAGAGATTATATTGGATTGAATTCTGTCCCGCAAAAATGTATGGATTAAAGTCAACGCCAGTAAGTCAAAATGTGACTTTCTTTGAAGACAGGGTATTTAGAGAAGTAATCCAGTTAAAATGAAGTGATTAGCATAGACTCCAAACCAAGATGACTGGGATTCTTATAAAAGGGGGACAACTGGACAGAGACATACACATAGTGAGAGCATCATGTGAACTAAAAAGTAGAGATTGAGGTGATGCTCTACCAGCCAAGGAATGCCCCAAAATTGGCTAAAACCTCCAGAAACCAGGGGAGAGGCGTCAGAAGGAAGAAATGCTCCTAATTCCATGATCTTTGACTTCTAGCCTCCAGAACTGCAAGACAACACATTCTGTTGTTTCAGCTACCCTGTTTGTGCTCTTTGCTATGGCAATCCTCAAAAACTAATAAAATATCACATAGACAAAACAAGAAAAAAATCTAGCCCTTTTTTAAAAAAATAAAAAATACTAAAATTTATACATAAATTTAAATCTTATTTTTAGTTTATTTTTGATATATGTGAGATACCTATACATTGATGAAGTATTCTAATAAAATTTAACTAGCATATCCCTTCTTAATAAAGTTTTTCTTAATGTGTAAAAACATAAATGTTGCAGAATTGCAATTGAAATGAATTATTCACATTATTATAATAAATATGTTTTGCATACTCACCTGATAAACTTCCTCATTTTTCAATAGTAAATACTGTTGCTAACGTTACCCTGCATGACTAATCATTGTAAAATCTTTACAGTCTCATTTTTCTATGTGAAGAAAAGCATTACATGTCAAGAGCACTGAAGTTGGAGTTTTTGTTTTTTGCTTCACTCAAGGTGTGCTGATTTAAATTTTGATCACATCTTAAAAAATAGCTTCACAGCAACATCTAGACTGGTGTTTTACCAAACAACTGGGCACCATAGCCTTTCCAAGTAGATACAAGTTGACACATAAAATTAACCATCATAATCTGTAATTTACTAACATTCTACTAACCTCTCCCTGGTGCAAATGATCACAATTTTTTATGTTGACCACTCATTAATTTTTAAACTGAGTTCCATATATTTACTCTTGCCCCATCCTTCTCCATAGATCCATTCTTCATATACCATCTGGAGTGAACTTTTATATTTTAGAATATAACTACAATTATATCACCCTCACACATTTAAAACTCTGGCTTCCCATTCTCTAAGGACAAAGTCTCAAACCTTTGCAATGGTCTACAAGTACATAAAGGATTCTTCTCTATCATCCTCTGAATGCTGCTACTTGAACACTGTCCCTCTCCCACAGTGTACTCCAAGCACACTAACCTTGTTGCATTTCCTCATTCAGGACAACCTCATTCTCATCTTAGGGCATCTAGTCAACTGGTCTCCTCCTAGAATGGGCCTCTCTCAGATCTTCACATGGCCGGCTCTTTTTCATGGTGCAGGATTCTGCTTGAATTTTACCAAGTGAAACTTTTGTCCTGATTTCCTTCCTTAACTAGTAGCCTGTCTTCCCAACCCAGTTGCTCTCCATCTACTTTCCTACTTGGAATTTATTTGTAGTATAGTGTTTGGAGTATAGTGAGGGAGGGAGAATCGTCTTAATTAGGATGATTCAGAGGATGATGGAGAATCCTTTCTGTCCTGGTAGACCATTGAAAGGATTTGAGATTTTGTTTTTAGAGAAAGGAACGCTAAGGTCTTAACTATCACAACCTGAAATTTACTTGTGTAAATTATAATATAATTGAATTGTGTTATATTAGTTACTTACTTATCCACTTGTTTATCTTTATGTATATCATTAGAAGTTAAGCTTCAGAAAGAAAAAGTTTTCTTCAAACAAGTTCTTTTTTCTAGCTCCAGTGCTTTATAGTGTATGGCAAATCATAAGTACTGAAAACTAATTTTGTAAAAAAAAAAAAAATAAAATAAACAAATAAATGGCTGTGCCCTAAATGTATAACTTTTACCACAAACAAAAATATTATCAAGTTGTAATAAATGATAGAAATAACAAAGTAAGCTACATAAACTTGAGTTAAACATGTATTAACTGACAATACCATATTTCTGAAATAGTTTCCTTTTCATTTAAAAATGTGATTATGTGTGTTTTGAAAACAATATAATAAAGAACAATGATTTCTTTATACTTTTGATATAGACAGACTCTCATTTCTACATCTTAGGCATTATTTACCATTTATTTACTACTACTTTTCTTGACCTCTTTGAGGAAAAATTGCAAATTAAAAACAATTGTTTATTTTACTTTATTTTCAGAAGTATGCCTACATGTTTATAGGGCTTACTTCTAAGAGGTTACTCACAGTGGAGTTTGTAATAAAGTTGAAAGTATTAAAGTTAAAGATAAAGTATGACTTTGAAAACATTGCTAAATGGAGAATTCCTCTGACTCATTTTCAATTTTAAGAGACATAAATGATTACAATATATTTACAAATTGTTATTGTTTGGGTTTAATTTGCATATTTTGTAGACTTAATAAGGTTGATTCAAAAGAAGAATACTTAGGGATTTGGTATTACAAGGATTCCTTATTTTCTGCTTGGAATTTTTAACATAAGCAAACAAACAAATATAAGAAATGTTTACACCAAGGCTTTGCAACAGTTATTAAGCAGAAGCAAATTAATTCCATTCTTATACCCTCTAGCTCAGCCAGAAGCATTATTAGACTGCACCATTAAAAATAAGATAAATTGATTTATTAAAAAATAAGAAAACATAAAATAACAGATAATTTAAAAATTAAAATCTTTTAATTTCTGTAAATAGTTTTTTCATCCCAATGTGTACCACCATACCCTGAATTTGGAACAGTCCGTACACAATGGCAACGATACATAAATGTTACTGTAGACAGTGCAACTTGTAGATTTTGAAAAATTTTGCTTTTGTTTCTATTTTCATTTTCTCTTTCTTTATAAAGATATTTTACCTGCAATTAAGCCCCCAAAGTTGAAACCTTTTTTGGTCATTTATTTTTAGAACTTTCCTTTTCTGTTTGGAATAAGGACCAGAAAGATTTTCCAAAAAATATAAATAATAAGATGTTAAAATGGGAATCTTCATTTATGTTTGTTGTCACAGAAAGCTAAAAATAAATAGGAGGAAAAGGTTCTACTTACCAATGTGAATTGTTTAACCACCTATACAGAACTTAAAAAGGAGATTTCAAGGTCCTTAGGCCAATAACCAACTTAAAGAGTTAGAATAGTTCAGACTAAAGTGGCCAAATAAGAGTGAATTTGAATGTGTGTGTGTGCATGTTTGCATGTTTAAATATATACTTTTTTATGTTTTGCTTTTGCCTATCTACTTTACCTTTGTTAAGCATACAATAGTGTCTTTTGTTTTGTTTTTTTTTTTCTTTTTTTTGAGACAGAGTCTCGCTCTGTCACCCAGGATGGAGTGTAGCGGTGCGATCTTGGCTCACTGCAAGCTCCGCCTCCCAGGTTCAAGCGATTCTCCTGCCTCAGCCTCCCGAGTAGCTGGGACTACAGACGCCCATCACCATACCCGGCTAATTATTTTTATTTTTATTTTTAATAGAGACAGGGTTTCACTGTGTTAGCCAGGATGGTCTCGATCTCCTGACCTCGTGATCCGCCCGCCTTGGCCTCCCAAAGTGCTGGGATTACATGCGTGAGCCACCGTGCCTGGCCTAGTGTCTTTTTTAAATTAAAATTTATGTCTTTATTAGAGAAAAACAAAAGTAAAAATATTTTGATTCTAAAAATCTAAGCAATTTTATACAAATATCTGAAGACTTAGAGTTGCTGGGACCATCAGCATTCATAGATAAGTGAACTGAGATTGGATTCTTGTATTTTGCCAGGTTGCGTATGCTCAGATTATACCACCAAAAGTCCAAAGCACCATGTCTTCTGTCCACTAAGCTTAAAGAACTGAGTTTCTAAACTTAATTATTTATCTCCATTTTGATTAGTCCATAGAAGTGGGTCTTGGTCTAAGGACCATAAAACCTTTACTCATATAACAGTATTAGGTAAGTGAATAGGTCAGTGAGATAGCCCTCCTGCATGCATTGACTCAAGAACTCAGTTTGACAAAAGCTCTGTCACATAAAATACATGGATTCCTAGGTCTTCATTCCATTTAGACAGCAAGAAAGTGATAACATCATGGAAAAGCAGGCACCCGAGATGTCCATGGGCTGGTCCTGGAAGGGGACATAAGACTTTCACTCATATTCCATATGCTAGAACTTTGTCTCAGTGCAATTTCTAACAGCAGAGTTATCTAATAAATCTAGTTGCTATTTGGACAGCTAATCTCCTGCATTAAATTGATGCTAAGGAATATTGGTAGCTGATCACATTCTGTATATGACCTCTTCTTCTCAAAGGATTCCCTCCATTCTCTTGCTTCAACTATATTCTGACTTATTTCCAGAACATCATTTCTCTGACTTCCTCTAGTAATCAATTTTAAATTCTTAAATACTTGTGGCTCAAAATAAAGAGGCATATATTTACCCTAATTGTTCATTGTTACCTTCACTATATAAATACAGTTCTCAATGGGGGTGTCTGCATTTTCCATGCCAATAAATCCAACAATTTTTATATCTTCTGCATTATTTGACATTTCAGCCACATTTGAGACTTCAGTTTTCCTTGTTGACACACTTTCATTAATCAGCTTGACATTCTCTTGGTTTTATGATTTCTCCTCATTTTTCTCTTTCTAAGGAGTGATATCGGACAGGGTAGTGAAGGGAGTCATGTGATGAATGGTATTACTAACACTGCTATCAGTTGTTAGACACTTCTATTTCAAACAAAATAAAGTCTAGGAATGGAAATAAAAAACAAAGCAAGGGTTTCCTACTGGAACCATTTCCATGTAAGTCTACACAAAATCCCCTCAGATAGCCTTGACTTCATTTTTGCAGTACTTGGTCATGCAGACACATTATTTTATGGATACTCACAAATGAGTTGGGGAAATTTGAAGGCTTAATCTTTGTACTTTAAAAAGTCTATTCTGCAAACTTTAACCAGACTAGTATGATCTTTGCTGTCCACATTTTCTCATAATTTCTTTGTCATCTAGAAAGCTTTATTTTTAACTATTGCAAAAATCAAAAAATGTAGGAAAGAAAAATAGAGAAGATCACTAGGAAACAGAAGAGTAAGATAAAAAGAAGACAAGTTACATTCCTAAATTGATTTTATTTTCATTCCTAATATCCTTAATGCAATTCAGAGTTGCCCACACATGGAATTTAGAAAAAAAATGAACACATGTTATAATTAACTGGGAAGCTAGCTGCAAAGGAATAACAACTGTATTCTACCTTGCAGTTTTTTATTCAGTGGATTTGAAAAAAAGTTCTGATAATAGGTATTTTTAACTAGGTCTGTGGGTGATTTTTTCATGACAATGGGTTGAGGACTTTAAGAACTAGGTTTAAGAAATTATAATTTTACCTGTGGAAAAAAGATTATTTGATAGCTCCTCAATTACTTGAAAGCTCAATTATTTGATAGCTCCTCAATTACCTGAAAGTCTGCATCATGGGAAACAACAGTCTAATTTTGTATATTTACAGGATACTAGAGCAAATCTTGGTAGTAATAGCAAGATAGATTTGAGAATATTATAAAAAAGAGACAGTAACATCAGAGATTTAAAGTATTGAAGCTTGTTGCTTAAAAAGTAGAGATGCCTATGAAGTATAATAAGTTCAGATAGACATAAAGAAACACAAAAAAGTAATTATTATACAATCAAGGAAGTGTTTACATTTAAAGGGAAGGATGGGGCTGTGATAGGGATGGACCACATGGAACAGGTTTAGACACGTCTAGCATAGTTTTATTTCTTAACTTAGGTGGCAGTTACAAGGGTAAACACTTTCTTTTTTCTATATTTTTTAAGTTTTATATTTGTTTTATGTGGTTCTGTGTATATTGAAAATGTTTATGTGAAGACTGAATAGCTGCCTATTGCAAAGATCTACCATAGATAGATCCATTATGTTTTTCTATGGAGACTCTTAACTACAAGATTATAAGCCTCATAATCAAAATGCATGTTTAAAGCTTTGTAGCTTAGCTGCTTTACTCACATTGTAATACATTTTTAAATAATAATACTGACTAAAAACAAGAATTCCCCAAAGTTGTAATTTTTGTTATGCCTTTAACTCTGCTAAAGGTGTGATTTCCTATATTTCTATGTTTTATTCTTCTACATGTTGGCTTTGGTTTATTTGATGACTCTATCCTACTTTTAAGTCAACAATTTCATTTTTTTATTTCAATTTTTTTTTTAGATATAGTGGGTCCTATATCTGAAATATAGGGGGTTCCGCTTTGTTACATGAGTATATTGCACCCAGATAGTGAGCATACCACCCAATAGATAGTTTTTCAATTCATACCCCCCTTTCTCTCCCCACCCTGGTAGTCCGTAGTGTCTATTGATTTTATATGTGCTCAATGTTTAGCTTCCACTTATTAGTAAGATCATGTGGTATTTGGTTTCATGTTCCTCTTTTAATTCACTAAGGGTAAGAGCTTCCAGCTCCATCCATGTTTGCTGCAAAGAACATAATTGTATTCCTTTTTATGGCTGCATGGTATTCCATGGTGTATATGTACAACATTTTCTGTATCCAATTTGCCATTGATGGGCACCTAGGTTTATTCCATGTCTTTGCTATTGTAAACAGCACAGTGATGAACATACATATGCATGTGTCTTTTGGGTATAATAATCTGTTTTCCTTTGGGTATATACCCAATAATGGGATTGTTGGGTTGAATGATAGCTGTTTTAAGTTATTTGAGAAACATCTAAACTGCTTTCCACAGTGGTGGAACTAATTTACATTCTCACCAACAGTATATAGTATTTCTTTTCTCTGCAGCCTCTCCAGCATCTGTTGTTTTGTGACTTTTCAAAAATAGTCATTCTGACTGGTGTGAGACGGTACGTCAAATACTTCTTTTCCCAAAGCATCTAGAAATATTTCTTATCCTTTCAATAATTTATGAATAGAAAAAGGAAGATGCAATACTTTATTAATAAATAGTAATGCCTATAAGTCATTGAAAGAAATGGTCTCAGTAGAATCATCACTGGAAATATAATGTATCACATGAGTTCAATATCAATGATTAAATTTTTTCTATAAGTGTTAGCAATTAGTAGTTTCATTAATAGCCATGGAATCCAGAATATATACTGGTAATTAAATTGTATTTACTCTTAATTCAAAGAATGTTATTCAGTGTGTAGAACTAGAAGTTCAATGAAATTATAATTGAACAAACCTTAATGTTGAGAACCTTTTTGGGTAAGAGAGCAATTATATATATGAAATATAAATTATTTTATATTTTATAATTATATATAATTATTTATATATTACACAAATTATATATAATTTTATAATTATATATAAAATACATATAATTATATATAATATATATAATTATATATAATATAGATATAATTATATGTAATATATAATTATATATAATATAGATACAATTATATATAAAAACTATATAATTATATATATATTGGGCTTGAAAACAAATTAAAACACTATGAACAGATACATTTCTTTAAGACTTTCTGTTTTCAATATTGGCATTCCTTGAACCCATTTATTGTCTGTTATATTGCACATTTGTATACAGAGCCTAATATCAGAAATAAATTGCCTGGAGTTTTGAAATACTTTCCTTGTAGACGTAAAGATTAAATATCTCTCTTATGCTTGCAGAGTGGGTATTACATTTTCAGCTGGTTAATCCTTATAATCTGTTGCACAATCTCAATTCCCACAAAAATAAAAAGCTTGTTAAAAGAAGATAAGAAGTTATCTCCTCACAGAGGGCTAATTCTGAGTCTCTGACAAAAATATCTTACTCTAGTAAAATTCTTATTAAATTAAATTAAATGTAAAATTGTACTTAATAAATACAAGATGGTTCTAAAGGAATTAGTGCTGAATTGACATCACCACGATGCTAGAGTCAACTTAGTTGGAGGATGCCATTTGTAAGGAAATCTAAAGACCCTATACAGTTGTAGGTTTCCAAAGGCTAATAAATTTTACTTAACGAAAAGTTGTTTACTGATCCCTATTCAGATGCATTATCCATTGCTTAGTTCTGCAGCTAACAGCCATTCTGAATCCATATATAGACAACTAAGGATGAGGAATTTTTTTTTTTTTTTTTTTTTGAGACGGAGTCTTTTTCTGTTGCCCAGGCTGGAGTGCAGTGGTGAGATCTTGGCTCACTGCAACCTCCGCCTCCCAGGTTCAAGCAATTCTGCTGCCTCAACCTCCCAAGAAGCTGGGACTGCAGGCATATGCCACCACGTCCAGCTAATTTTTGGTATTTTTAGTACAGACGGGGTTTCACTGCGTTAGCCAGGATTGTCTCGATCTCCTGACCTTGTGATCTGCTTGCCTTGGCCTCCCAAAGGAGAAGAGGAATCTTAACGGTTAGCCAGCCTGATGATTCTTGTGAATCAGAGGTTTCTAAAATCTTTGGTTTCTAAACAACCCAAGTATTAGCTTCCCTGGAAGGACAATTATTTATGCTGTTCTCAGAGTATCCATATAATCAAGCCTAGAGTCTGTATTCTCTACCTTTTCCAATATGTGGGCAAGCACATAATTCCCTACTTTCGTTTCACAATCACTTAATTTACCAGTGTACTTTGAATGACATGCATTAAACACTTACTGATACAACACAGGGAAGCAAACAAAGATAAACTAGTGATGACATAACATAAATTGCTGAAATGTGTATTAGTCTGTTCAGGCTTCCATCACAGAATACTATACACTGGGTGGCTTAAAAAATATAAATTTATTTTCTCACAGTTGTGAAGGCTGGAAGTCCAAGACCAAGGTAGAAGCAGGGTTGGTTTCTAGAAAGGCTTCTCTTCCTGTCTTACAGGTGAATGTCTTCACAGTGTGTCCTCACATGGCCTTTCCTTTATACATGCATCAAGAGAGACACATCCCTGCTATATTTTCCTCTTCTTATAGGGACACCAGTTTTATTGGATTAAGGCTCTACCATGATGACCTTATTTTATAATAAGTAGCTCCTTAAAGGCCCTGTCTCCGAATACTTTGGGGGTTGGAGCTTCCAAACTGGAATTGGTGGTAGGAGGAAACCAGTCCATAAACAGATTGTTTCTGTGTCATATGATATGTTAAATACACATGACATATGTGCACAGAATTAACACACAACCTACCCAGTTGCTAAGACCCTGAAATACACAAGGATAGAAACTACTACCACCATTTAATCCTCTCATTCCATTTCCAGTAACAGGCCGTTACATTTACCATAAATGACAACAACTATTGCCAGTACTCTTAACCTTGGAGAGAGTTGGCTTTCTCTCTATGGTTAATGACTATATCTCCTATCCAGAAAGGTCCTTGGTATTTAATGGATGCTCAAAGTATTTGTTTATTAATCAGTTAGTTAATATAGATGACTGTAAATTCTTTGTCTTCAGATGCAAATTATTCTACTTTTACATGATTTGAGAATGTTCCTGCCTTTTCAATTTTAATATTCTGCCAACACTTTAGTAACACCATATCTAAATATAAGCCAATATTTACTTTTATTAGTCACCTGTGGGATGGATGTGAAAATTTATTCTCTTTTTCTTCTTATTCATGAGCTCGACAGTCTTCCCAAACAATATCTCACTTATTTTACATTTCATTTTTTCCAATTGCTTTTGGAGACAAAACAGAATAAAAAATTTTAACAACATTTAATCCATTTGAAAATGGTGTTGGCTGTATCTGGAAAAATATATCTGTAATTGATAACTTCTAACTACCTCTGTCTGCCTCCCTCAGTCTCTGTGCCATTCTTTATGATTATTGCAGCAACCTCCCAAGAATGGTCACCCTGTCCAGCTTTTATTTCCCCTAATTTCTTCTGCCAGAATGATCTTGTTAAAATTCAGCAAAACATCATACGCTTTTGCTAACAAACACTTCCCTTCTTTCTCGCACCAAAGTCCTAACTGTGCTCTTCAAGTCCTGCTACAATATGGCCTCATTAATGCCCTGACTTCAGACTATTTTACTCCCTATAACAAGTTCTTGCTTTTTCCACCCAGTCATCATGTTTTTCTTGCTCTTCTGCAAACTTGAAGACACTGCATTTTTTGTTCCCACTACTTACAATATTTCTCATCCAATATCAACCTGATTAGCAACTTCATTTTCTTCAGGTTTCTTTTCAAAGGCTGTCATCTATAAACAGACCTTGCAAATGGATGAGTTGATTACCATAAGAAAAAAATTTTACTTACTTTCTTTTTATATTTAATATAATTTGAATGCTATTTAAGGTTGTCCAACCATGTCTATGGCCTCAGATGTTCATGTGAGTTTCTAAATATTTTAAATGACAACTTTAATGTAAACTAGTATTTTTCTGTTTCTGAAAAATGTTATGTTTGCATAATAAAAGTTATGAAAAGAACCAGATACTTGCTTTCTATTTTATCCTCTCAAAGCAAATTTGTGTTAAACTGAAATACACGTATTTTTTAATTTTTTTGTTGAAGCCTATATTTGTTGCTTTTATAGTATTGCTATTGAAAAATGTCTGTACACGTTCTTTGCCCACTTTAAAATAGGGTTATTTCTTTGTTTGTTTTTTCCTTGCGGAGCTTTTTAGTTCTTTGTAGATTCTGGATATTAGCCCTTTGTTGGATGTATTTGCAAATATTTTCTCCTGTTCTGTAGGTTGTCTGTTTACTGTGTTGAGTATTTCTTTTGTTGTGTAAAAGCTTTGTAATTTAAATAAGTCCTATTTGTTTATTTTTGTTTTTGTTGTGTTTCCTTTGGAGGACTTAATCATAAATTCTTTGGTTAGGCCAATATACAAAAGATATTTTCCTAGGTTTCCTTCTAGGATTTTTATAGCTTCAGATCTTACATTTAAGTATTTGATCCATCTAGGGTTAATTTTTGTATATGGTAAGAGATAAGGGTTCAGTTTCATTCTTCTGTGTATGGTGATCCAATTTGCCTGAAATCATTTATTGAATAGGGTGTCCTTTCACCAGTGAATACTTTTGTTGATTTTGTCAAAGATCCGTTGGTTGTAGGTATGTGGCTTTACTTCTGGGTTCTCTATTCTGTTCCATTGACACATATCTATTTTCCAAGAAGATATACAAGCAGCCAAAAAGCATATGAAAAAATACGCAACATCACTTATCATCAAAGAAATGAAAACTGAAACCACAATGAGATACCACCTCACCCCTGTCAGAATGGCTATTATTAAAAACTCAAAAAACAACAGATGTTGGTGAGTATGTGGAGAAAGGGGAACACTTATTCATTGTGGGTGAGAATGTAAATTAGTACATCCTCTAAGGAAAACAGCATGGAGATTTCTCAAAAAACTAAAAATGGAACTATCATTCAAACCAGCTATCCTGTACTGGGTATATATAAAAAGGAGAAGAAATCATTACATCCAAAAGATACGCTCGTTATGTTTATCACAGCGCTATTCACAATAGCAAAATCATGGAATCAACCTAAGTGTCCAACAACTGATGAATGGATTTAAAAACTTTGATATATATCTCTACCATGGAATGCTATGCAGTCAAAAAAGAATGAAATAATGTTCTTTGCAACAACATGGATGCAGCTGGAGCCCATTATCCTAAGAGAAATAACTCAGAAACAGTCAAATACCGTATGTTCTCACTTAAAGTGGGAGCTAAACAATTGGATACACATGGGCATACAGAATGAAATAATAGACAATGGGGACTCCAGAAGGTGGGGCAGGGGGAGAGATCAAATACTACCTACGGAATACAATGTACACTATTCAGGTGATGGGTACACTAAAGGCAGAGACTTCACCACTAAACACTATATCCATGTGACACTACTGCACTTGTTTCCCCTAAATCTATCAAAAGAACAACAAAAGGAGGGAGGAAGTACCACCAGACCTACTCTACCTTTCCATGTATTTCCCATCATAGGTGTTATAAAATATGTTAGCATAAAAATAACCTTTTAAAAACAAACAATAAAACTTGTTTGGATGGAATATGTAGAAAAATGTGACTACAGAAATTTAAAATGCCAATACATCTAACTTACATTCTGATATAGTAGTCCCCCCTTATCCATGATGGATACATTTCAATACCTCCACCAGATGCCTGGAATGGAGGCTAGTTCCAACCCTGTATATAATCGTTTTTTGACCTGAGAACTGTGATGACTTTTAAGTGTGTAACAGGGAGGTAGTGTATATGGCATGGGTATGCTGGACAAAGGGATGATTCATGGCCTTTGGGACACAGAAAGATGGTATGAGATTTTATTGTGAAACTCAGAATGGTATACGATTTAAAGTTTATAAATTGTATATTTCTAGAGTTTTTTATTTAATATTTTTAGACTACAGTTGACCACAGGAAACTGAAACTGCATTTGAAAAAGAAAAGCCTCAAATGAAGATTGACTACTGCATTCAGAAGCACATGGAGAATGAAATCTTTGCCTTGAAGAATGTAAACAATGTTTTCTTGTTATTATAAAGTGCAATGGAATGCGAGTGGACTATGAAGAATCAGTGATAACTAATATCATTTAAATGTTTGCTATGAGTGAAGCTATTTTATTTTTTTATTTATTTTCATTTTTTATTTGTATAGATTTATGGGGTACATGAGAAATGTTATTGTGCATATATAATGCATAGTGATTAATTCAGGGTATTTAGGGTTTCCATCACTCAAATATTAATAATTACATTTTTAAGTGTAGTTATCCTATCACACAATGAGTTTATTTCTTTTACTTTATTGTATGTTTGCACCCTTTAACCCACTTTTTTTTTTTTTTCAAGACAGAATCTTGCTCTGTCACCCAGGCTGGAGTGCAATGGCATGATCTTGGCTCACTGCAGTCTCTGCCTCCTGGATTCAAGTGATTCTCCTGCCCCAGCCTCCTGAGTAGCGGGACTACAGGCCCACACCACCACACCCAGCTAATTTTTGTATTTTTAGTAGAGATGGGGTTTCACCATGTTGGCCAGGATGGTCTCGATCTCCTGACCTTGTGATCTGCCCTCCTTGGCCTCCCAAAGTGCTGGGATTACAGGCATGTGCCAACCCAATTCTTTTCATCCTCCTCTTCCCCTCACCTACTCCCTCTTCCCAGTTTCTGTTAACTACCTTTCACTCTCTACTTCCATGTAATCAAATATTTAGCTCAGACATAGGGAAGAACATGCAACATTTGTCTTTTTGTGAATTGGAGTATTTCATACCATTTGCTTTGGAAATGCTGAATATGTAATACGGTTAAAACTAGTTATACATAATTTAATGTCTTAAATAATTTTAATATTCTTTGTTCATGTTGGAGTTGATTTCTATAAAGGGGATTTTGCTGACTTGTTCTTTATTATTTATGTCAGGAGGTTAGAACAAGAGAAAAATAAAATGGACTAAATTTTGTTTAATAGTAACAATTGCACAAATGAAATCAACATAACTAAAAAAAGTAATTTTTTTCACAACAAGGCATATTATGGAAGTAATTCCATAAAGTCTTTGTTGAGAACTGTTTAATAATTGAATGATTTTTGGAAACCTTATATGTAAATTCACTTATATACATTTTGCATTTCAGATTAGCCAATTAAGGCTTTGAATTTTTCAGTAAAATAGCTTATTACATTAATTTAATAATCGTGGCTGAATTATTTTTCATCCCTAACTCATACTCATTTTTTTAGTAAATGTTTTCATAAATTCATTTTTTGTATTCCTTAAAAAAACAAAAATCACAAGTTTCATACTAATTTTTAGAAATATTGTATACTAAACAAAACTGCCTCACTCATGCAGCAAGTTGGTCTATGTTCTCTGTTTGCCAGATGTCCTTCAATAATTTCTGTAAATAGATTCCTCTTCAACAGATTATACATAAAAGATAAAAGGTGATCAGTAACCTTGTGAATATAGTGTGAACCAGAGCAAAGAGTTCCATTCCTAAATCAAGTCCCATGCCATAATCACAATCATCATTAGCCAACTGCACAAAAGTTATCATTCCCTGAATGGGAGCAAAAGCTTTTAGTCTCTCTTTATCACTTGCAACCCCAACTATCATCTTGCAAATTCTTTTGAGGTCAACCTTTCCCTCATCTAAGGCCCAGGGTTGACCAAAGATTTGATAACAGAAAGGGGCTAACTTCTGATGTTTTAATTCAACATAGATGATGTGAATGAAAGTTATTTTATGAAAAATTTAGAAGATGAATTCAATCTTGATGATGAAAAAGTTTTGATTTGTGATAAAGTTGCTTGACACTAAGAAGTGTTTTCTAATCTTTAGTTTGTCTGTTTTCCACTGGTTTGTTCCTGGACCAAAATATAAAAACAGATGGAATAAATTGGTAATGCACACTAATGTCTAAAAAGAAATGACTAAGTCGGGAGTTTGGAGGATGCTAATGCGTCTTTTAAAGTTTGAGGACCATTATACGAAATAAAAAGCACTGAAGAAAAAGAAATAGATTTCCTACCAATAAGAGGAGAAGTTGTGCCCTAGGAGGAGGAATCTGGGATGAAAATCTCTTCCCATTTAGGAGCCAGGAGTAAAGTTCGACTAAGCACATGAGCCAATCCAACATACTTACTCCAACTGAAAGATTTATAGGTTAGAAAATATAATTTAGCCAAGATAAATAACTCTTTTGTACGTTTTTCTGGATGCTGCCCATGTGGGATAAGCAAACAGTAATTGTCAGTCATTTTATTGTCTTTTCTTGTTATTACCAAGAAGCTAATTTCCCTCATCAACCAAGATAAAATTCCCCATTGATGTTTTATCTGGTATTAAAGGTAGCAAAGGAATTTATTTCTACCTAAAGAGACTGATGGGCATTGGATGATAAGGCCAAGTTTAACGGTCTTTAAGCATAAATTTTATTACTTAATCGGCAAGCTGCTTTATTATATTCTGAGAACTATGGCTTCTCTTTGCCTCACTTCCTAAAACTTGGGAATGGTCAAGGCAAGCCTACTGCAATGCACAATCACTTTTTCCCTGAGGAGATACATAAAGCAGCTACATTTCTTTAAATCTGACCTCTCACCAAGAATCTCACTTCATTTCAACATAGTAGTGTAACCCATTATCAGTGAGATAACAAATAAACACACACAAAAAAATTTTTGCTATGTTGTTTAAAATTTGAATGAGACAATAATAGAAAAATTTTGTCTCAGCAAATTAATCCCAGATATTTTTCAAAGGTAAAATGATATCTCACAATGCAAAGAAAAACTGTATATTAGATATCAAAATCAGGACTGCATAGTCCTAACACAGAAACATTTCAATACTCTTCAGTTACATACTAATACTTGGCTATTTCTATAAAAATGACCTGTTTAACTATTAAGATCAGAGTATAGTTGTTGCATTTTGATGGCCACTGCCAATGATATAGCATTATATCTGCCTGAACCTGAGTCAAAGACTAATCCAAGAAACTTTCTACCTAAGACTGAAAATTGAACCATCATGAGCAATACATAGATTCAGATAGCTTTCTCTAAAAAACAGACAGATGGTGAAGTTCATTAAACCCAACCAAAAAATTTCAACATTTGAATTTTCTACTGGTCTGGTAAGATTACGTCTTGCTTTATAAATTTATCATGTGTTTTCCTATATAAAATAGTCTACCTGAATATATAACTTATAAATAGTATTTTGAAAGAATCCTTTTTTTAATACTCTTCACTTGAAAAATAACATTTTATCAAATTTGGATTTTATCTTAGGAAATACTGTAGATCCATGGACTGTATGATAGAAATAGAAAGAAGGCCCAAATAGAAATTACATTAGAATAAAGGACTAATGACCTAAGATGTAATGAGCAAGGCTCTTTACAGCAGCACCCAACTTCAGGTAACAATTTTTGTTTCAGTTATTTACTCATGTGTAACAAACTGATGAAAAAATTGTAGTCGATAACAGAGGTCAAAAACTGCAGGCTGCAGGCCAAATTAGGCACAGCACCTGTTTGCCACATTGGTCCGCCAAGAATGGTGTTCGTATTTTTAAATGGTTATAAAAAAAGAATAACTTGTGTCAAGTGAAAATTATATGGAATTCAAATTTCAGTGTCCATGAATAATGTTTTATTGAAACAGCAATATTTGTTTGTTCACATACTGACTGTGGCTGCTGTTGTGTTACAACAGAACTGAGTGTTTGGAAAAGAGATCTTATGACTCACAAAGTCAAAAATAATTACAACTTGGCCATTTACATAAAAATTTTGCCTACTGCTGGTTTGAAACAATATTGATTTATTAATTTTTGTGATTCTTTTTGTGTTGACTGGATTCAGTTCCATGTGACATAGCTAAAGTCATCTACATGGTGGCATTCCCCTAGATGCCTGGCTGATGCCAACACAGTCAACTTGGTGTCTCACATGACACTGGCTCCTTTTATGTTGCCTCTCATAGTTCAGTAGACTTGTTTAAGGTCTTTTGTACCATGGAAGTTGATTGCTAAAGGGAGCATTCCTACAAACAAACTTCATGTCTTAGTGCTCACCATACACTTGCTGGCACTATGCTTGGTAGTTCCTCACTGAACAAGCCAGGAAAAATTGCCAAGCCCAAAGTGAATGTGGGACATGACTAGACAAAGTCAACTGGAAGTACAGTTCATTGAGGTAACCAGAGTAAGTTTTCCGTAATATCCAAATGCAGCATATTTATGTTCTCATTATCTCTTTTTGTTCCTATAAATAGAAGAGATCATTCATATCCAGTTTCTTAAACTCAGTTATGGGTTTCTTTTTTGATTATAATTTGATATTCTGTTGTTCTACTATCTCTCATTTATGTTGTCTTATTTCCTTGTGTGTTTTGTGATTTTAACTGTGAGCTCGTTTTCCACTGAAACTTATCAACGGAAATTCTTTGAGGCATGCAGATTTATTCAGGGTTATTTGTATTTGCTTTGGTCAGGTGCCTAGCAGGCACTTGATTATAATTGCACATTTGGAATTTTTCTTAATCAATAAGATTAACTAAATTCAGAATGAATAACTATTAAAAGTTGGCTTAGCATTATTAATTCTCAGTGATTTTTTTTTTCTTTCCACCTAGCTCTTCATTTTGAGGCAGATAGTTTTTCTTGGACCAGCAAGAGATGAGAGAATGTGGCCCTATATTTAATGCATACTTACACTGAAATTATAATTAACTGAAGTCTTAACTGTACTTAGAAGTTCCACTATAAGATTTCACACTCTGAGACAGTCCCAGAAATACATAAAAAACAAAGCTCAATTTCTTTAGGCTTTGTTTTGTAATGTCCTCAGGGCAAAAATCTAGTTCCAATGAAATGTCATTTATCACTCTGCTTACTTGTTTTAAATTAGTTTTTGGTCTCATGATTCCTTGTTTTCTTGCCAGGTCACTAAAGCAATCACAAAGTTGGTTTTCTCTTTTTAATTTTACGAAGTACTTTTAGTACTTTGCAGCAGAAAGCTGGTCATTAATTAAAAATGATTTCAAACAAATTTTATTAGAAAAAAATTAAGTATATGTCTATATAATATATATTAGTATATATTATATATAATGTATATATATTATATATACATATGGACGATATATGGTAATAGACATATATATAATAGACATATATATATATATATATAGTGACTCACATGCCATTCACATCCTTCTGTGTTGCCTCTCATAGTTTGGCAGACTTGTTTAAGGCCTTTGGTACCATGGAGGTTGATTGCTAAAGGGAAGCATTCCTACAAACAAATCTCATGTCTTAGTGGTTATCATACACTTGTCAGCGCTATGCTTGGGAGTTTATGTATATGTATATACATACATATATATATGTCTTTATAATATTCATATGTCTCTATAATAGACATATATAATAAAGAAATAAAATTTGGCTGGGCACAGTGGCTCACATCTGTAATCCCAGAACTTTGGGAGGCCAAGGCAGGAGGATCATCTGAGGTCAGGAGTTTGAGACCAGCTTGGCCAGCATGACGAAATCCAGTCTCTGCTAAAAACACAAAAATTAGCTGGGCATGGTGGTGCATGCCTGTGATCCCAGCTACTTGGTAGGCTGGGGCCGGAGAATCGCTTGAACCCGGGAGGCGGAGGTTGCAGTGAGCTGAGATCGCGCCAGTGCACTCCAGCCTAGGTGACAAGAGCAAAACTGTCTCTAAATAAATAAATAAATAAATAAATAAATAGAATTTATCTGTAGAGCCTTTATTTAGAATCAATCATTATAAATATTTCCTCACACTGCTTCATCTATTTCTTGAGGTATTTTAAAGATCCCTGACTTCCTATCACTTCATCTTGTATATTTCTATAAGCAACTCAAAAGAATACAGAGCCCTGTTTCACCCTAATGCCCTTATCAAACTTAACAATATAAAATTAATTACTTAGTATTATCCAATATTATGCTTATAATTAAATTTTCCCCAATTTTCTAAAAAAAGTATCATTTCATAGTTTATTCAGATCAGTATAAATGCTTACATTTTCATGTTTTATGTCTCTTCAGTCTCTTTTAATCTAAATCTGCTTCCCTCTCTTGTATTGTCTTGTTGAAGAAAATGGATTATTCTTAACAGAAAATCTAATATTTTTGTCAATGTACTTTTTAAACAATTTTAAACTTACTTTTATCATTCTATGTATCTATTCATGTGAAGATCACCATGGACTTAATTATGACAGTTCAATAACCATCTCTAGTTTCTTATCTTTCATGATCTCTCAGCAGCCAATGTGCATTTAGGTAGAAACTGATCAGCTATCCCCCTGGTAGAGAAAGCTAATATTGGGTAACGAGAAAGAAGTGAGTATGAAGGTTAAAACATATAAAGCAGAAATAAATATTAAATACAATCACTAAAGTTTTCTCAGCTAATTATGTTGCTGTGCAAACATACAACAACCCATGAAACAAAATCAAAATGCATATTTTTTACATAGAAAGTGCTGATCTTTTGTGAAAATCACATTTTTCATATAAATATTGACATTTGCACAATATACCAAAATATTTATACATATGTATTGCATGCATAATACTTATCACTGAAGATTGTAAAAAATAAAATTTATAGAATAAGAGATTCACACATATTGATCAACAACTCAACAAAGTAATAATGAACTTTTCCATAACAAGGCTTTAAAATAAATTTATGGATGATTTAACAAGTATTGAGTGGTGGAAACAAGATTTAAACCCTGGCTAGATTGCAACATGTCTTTGCTACTTTTATTGGATCATGTTGTTTATCATACAGAAACATTCCAGTGAGAAGAAAACAATAATCCTTCGCAACATAAGACAGACATTTTTCTTATTTGAAAAGGAGCTAGTTTCTTAAATATCTTTCTAAATCATCCAGTATTTTGTTTGTTTGTTTGTTTTTTGTATTTTTTCAGATGGAGTTTAGCTCTTGTTGCCCAGGCTGTAGTGCAGTGGTGTGATATTGGCTCACTGAACCCTCCACCTCCCAGGTTCAAGCGACTCTCCTGCCTCAGCCTCCCAAGTAGCCTGGGATTACAGGCACCTGCCACCACACCCGGCTAATGTTTTTGTATTTTTAGTAGAGACGAGTTTATCTAGTCTTGAACTCCTGACCTCAGGTGATCCGTCCAGGTCGGCCTCCCAAAGTGCTAGAATTACAGGTGTGAGCCATCGCACCCAGCCCAGTGTTTCTTAAGTGATACATAAAATAAATAGATTTTCATCTTCTGGTATCAGTTCTGCATTATTCCAGACAAAAACAAACTAGTTAAATATAAGTAAATTAGAGGAAGAAGAATCATTCTCAAAGTTTTTAGAGATACGGCCAAGAATTTATATTTAGATGTAACTCTTCAATAACGTTAAATGCAATTATCACAAAAAGAGATGAGTCCAAGTCGTTTACCTATTTACATTAAAGACTTTTCTTGTAAATTGAACTAAAAGATAACATTGTTTGCATAACCCATCTCATATTGTTGTTGACTTCATGAATACCATATAAGCTTCATCTGCACCATTCTTATTTGCAGGTGCCTTTTTACTTCCTGATTTCTTCCCCAGTGAGCGGATAAAAGAAAATGGAATACAAAAATAAATTTGTTCATAATTTAACTGCCTTTACATCTTTTGAACCAAAAGGAATTTAAGGATTAAGTAGATTTTGACATACAATTTAAATCCATTTTAGATAGGTGCATTGACTAGGGAGAGTTATCTTAGGAAAAATCAAGGTCAACAAAAATGGGAAGCACATTAGAAATACTCAAAAGAAAAAACATATTATTTGTTCTGTGAAAATATGTCATTTTAAATGAATATTCTAAATTTAGAATGCATGTCTTCTCCTTGATTAAACGTGTTATCTTTATTGTATAGTATATATGTTGATTGTTAATTACAGGCACTTATCTAAAACATGTATATTGTACCTGAGACTGTGCTACACTTTGAGGATAGAGAAATGATTAAAGGACAATCTCTGTCATTTGAGGACTTACTTAAATTCGGATAACTTTACTAACAATCATGACTTAGCAAAAAGATTTCTGACAATTTTTTAAGTGCTTGGATGTTGTAAGAGTCAATGAAGAAAATATTCAGTTGAATATTTTAGACTTTGAAATAAAAGTTTATTTCTGTAATAAAGTTTTAGGAGAGGATGCATATATTAGTATAGCAATAATCCCCCTTTATTTAAATTCATCCAATAGCTCTTATAAAACATGTAACCATTAGGATATTTGAGTTTAGTTGCTCATCACTCTCCCAATGAAATCGTTGACTCATTTTCCTAAACTACCTAAAATATATTCACATCTATATTTTGTTTTATTTATTTTTTTGGCAGAATGCATTTGGTTTAATTCTTATGAATAAATCTTGGATGTAATCACATGATAACACATGTATTATCTTCACATAAACAGTTGCAGTACAAAGCAATTGAGATGAAACTATTTATAATAAAATAATTCTATATATTAGCACAAAACATTTTTTCACAATACAATTTTTGAACAACAGGAAGAAATTTTAAGAAAAAAACTGTGTCCATTTTTTTCTTGTTTTAAATAGCTGTTAAATAAGCCACATCCATTCCATTTTTACAGTTTCCCCTGTCATTCTGATTCTCACCACCACATTGCTTAGGCAATTAAAATAATGCCCTACCAGGAATCCTTGTCCCAACACTAAACACTAAAATTAGTGTTTTATTATACTCCTTTACTTTAAACAAACAAACAAATAGAAAATAAAAGCTCTGGCCAGGTGTGGTGGCTCACACCTGTAATCCCAGCACTTTGTGAGGCCAAGGCTGGCGGATCACCTGAAGTCAGGAGTTTGAGACCAGCCTGGCCAACATGGTGAAACCCTGTCTCTACTAAAAATAAAAAAGATAGCAGGGCTTGATGGCGGGCACCTGTAATCTCAGCTGCTCGGGAGGCTGAGGCAGGAGAATCGCTTGAACCTGGGGATGGAGGTTGTAGTGAGCCAAGATAGCCCCTTTGCACTCCAGCCTGGGCAACAGAGTGAGACTCTGTCTCAAAAAAAAAAAAAAAGAAAAGAAAAGAAAAGAAAAAGACAAAAGAAAAGAAAAGAAAAAGAAAAGCCCCAACCTGCAAAATCCATTGCCACCTACAGAACTGGTTCTCAAATATTAGCATGAGTAAGAGTCACCTCGAAAGCATGACAAATTCAGATTCCCAGGTGCCGCCACTGGAGATCTGAATGATTAGGTCTGGGATAGTGGCCAAGAACCTGCACTTTTAAAAAGCTTCTTAGTAGCAGATGGTTCTTGCTGACTTGTAGGATTAAGTCCATGTTTCCTGAGTGGGTCTCTAAGGCTAGCTCCATCTGACTGCAGCCTTTTGTTAACCCTTTCTTCTTTATGCAAGCCTTCTGCTTTAGGCAGACACCCACTCCGTTGTCCTCCAAGCACGCACTATGCAATGAATGTGCTTTATGAGCTGTGGCCAATGAATGCCCTTCTAGGGGACACTTCAGGAGAAGAAATGTTTTTAAATAATTTTAACGCTTCTTAATCTAAAAAGTATCTTGTAATTACCTTTAAAAATAGTGTATAGTAAAAATTTTAAAAGAATAATGGGGAGAAATGATAGCTTATTTTATGTTTCTTGAAGAATAATGTTTTTATATTTGCTGTAACTATGAATCACACACATAAAAATAAAAGTCTCTTTTAACAATCTCCATTGGCAATCCATATTATATGATTATCAAAAATTATTGTTATAATAAATATATTTGAGGAATATACACTTCTAGTCAAAAACATCTAAACAGAGTTTAATGAGGGAGACACTGTATTTTTGCACTGAATTTAAACACCAAATAAATGCTTTTGTCCTCACATGGAAAGAATGTTGGCACAAAATATATCACATATTTTAAATTCACAACCCCCAGGGTCTTCTTGTGGTTTATTTTGCTTTTTAAGATCGGGATTTTGATCGGGAGAGGGCAGACCTGAAAAGATATTAAGAGCTAAATTTATTCAATGATGCAAAGAATTTAGAGAGCTCTCAGTCCCATCTATTTTTAAAATGAATAAATTAATGGATAAATAATAAATATATAATGAATAAATAAATAGAAAAATAAATAAAAGAGAACTATCTTGATAATACCAAGAAAAACACTTGGTGCATAGTAGGCAATGGCGTTAGTTTGGGTACGGTGGTAAATAGATGGTTCACCCAGAGTTGGAATCATTAGAAGAGAGTGCATTTACAAAGGACTTTTTACAAAGAGACATGTGAATGTGCAGTGAATAGGCTGCCACCACTCCTAGATCCAAGGGAACAAGGTGGAGAAAGTAATACAATGAAGATCCCTTGAGTAGAGTAGGATACATCAGTTAAGTAATACGGCCCAAAGGACACCTTTATGGAGCAGGGGGTAAAAACACTTGGACCTCAATCTACTTTCTGCCTGATATCTCTTGCCAGGGCACCAATTGCTTTAACCAAACTGGAAGCAGAGAAAAGCTGTAGTCCATGCGGGTTAGCTTCGTGGACAAGAAAGTAACTTTAAAAATGTGTGGTGTGGATCTAACTGGGAAACAGCAAATACCTAGCACAGAATATTTAAGTATATTTTGAATGGATGACTAAATGGCTGAATAATAAATTACCTTTAGTGAAAGTCTGGAAACCATTTCACATTTATTTTTTGTGTTCCTTTGACTAGCTGCTGAGGTCCCCCACTTTTTTAAACGTAATTTTGCTTCACCAAGCAAGCAAGTTTATCACAGCATTGCTAATTAAAAATAACATATTTAAAGATGCTGACCAATACGCAACATAACTTCTAAAATTAGAAATTAATGATGTATTTTGTACATATATAAAATTATTATAATCTACCTTTGCTAGGCTTGTCAATATTAGTCCAATTTGCCAATGTATAGCGCACTTTAGTTTAGCTAATTACATTAATAACTTAAGCAAAGCTTAAAAGGAACAAACAAAGATAATAAATGTATACTCATAGATTAATAGTAAAATAGAAAAAATAAACATTATTATTTAAAAGAATAGAAAATTCTTAAATCTATGTATTTGTGCTTTCAGATAAATAATAATATCTATTGGTGAGAGGCAGATATCACTGGATGAATTCAAGATGCATGATAAAACACCTCCAGAAGATAATATCCCAAGATATAGGTTCTAGTGTGATAAAATAGACTATATAAAAATAGAATGACACTACAGATTATAGAAAAGTGCACTGGCATATGACGCTCTACAGTTTGCTATCAAAGAGTATTCCAGTATATTTTTTAAAGACACTTACAATAGCTAAGATTTGGAAGCAACCTAAGTGTCCATCAACAGATGAATGGAAAAAGAAAATGTGGTACACAAACAAAAAGGAACACTCTTCAGCCATATAAAAGAATGGCATCTTATCACTTGCAGCAACATAGATGAAGCTGGAGATGATTACGGTAAATGAAATAAGCCAGGCACAGAAACATCACTTATTTGTGGGATCTAAAAATCAAAGCAATTGAACTCATGAACATAGATAGCAGAAGGATGGTTACCAGAGATTTGGAAAGGTAGTAGGAGGCTAGGGTTGGGAAGTGGGGATGGTTAATGGGTACAAAAAAATAGAAAGAAAGAATGAATAAGACCTACTGTTTGATAGCAAACAAAGATGACTGTAGTGAATAATAACTTAATTGTACATTTCAAAGTAACTAAAAGAGTGTACTTGGATTGTTTGTAACATAAAGGATAAATGCTTGAGGGGATGGATACCCCATTCTCCATGATCTGATTATTTCATATCTCATGCCTGTATCAATACATCTCATGTACCCCATAAATATATACACCTATTATGTACCCACCAATATTAAAAATAAAAAATAAAAAATAACAGACACCACTATTAAATAAAATGGAAAGTTATACAGTACTTTCTAAATTCTTTTGGTAGCAGTAGACATATTTTAAATTTCTAGAAAACATTTCCAAACAAAGGAGGAACATTGAATTGTATACTGTGGACTACATAAACATTTTTCAATAAAGTATATTCAGTTCTAAGTAAAGAAAGTAGTAGTTCCTTGAGTGGCAATAATAATGACCTTTTCTAATCTTATCTTGAAAGTGAATTCTCCTTTGAACCGTAAAAGCCAAAAGGTTTCATAATTGTCACACTAACTTAACCACTTAGAATATTTTTAGTTAATTTAGCTCTTTATCCATCTCAAACAGTTCATGGCCTCATGCAATTTATACATTCTAAAAGTAATCCTCTATGTTATTAAACATTATACAAGTCATTTAGGTAACAGACTCACTATGATGTTAGCAAAATAAATAATTCCTGATTTATTAACTTTTCAATTGGAGAAAAAAATGTAATGAATGAAATTAGCATAGGCCAGTACTTTTTATATTCGGAAGAATTGGAAAACATATTTATTAAACTCTACTGCTTATTATAATTTGAGCTTTATAAGACTCAATTTATAAGCAACAAAGATAGACATGTCTTTTACTTCAATTTCAGTATTAAACAATAAGTTTTTAAAGTAAATAATTTTAGTGTTAAATTTTAATGTTTTTATTATATTTATATTTTTCTTTTTAAAATTTTATTTTAAGTTCTGGGATATATGTGCAGAACGTGCAGGTTTGTTACATATGTAAATATGTGACATGGGTTTGCTGCACCTATCAACAGATCACCTAGGTATTAAGACCCTCATGCATTGGCTGTTTGTCCTGATGCTTTCCCTCTTCTTACCCCACCCCCCGACAGGCCCCAGTGTGTGTTGTTCCCCTTCCTGTATCAATGTGTTCTCATTGTTCAGCTCCCACTTACAAGTGAGAACATGTGCTGTTTGGTTTTCTGCTCCTGTGTTACGTTCCTGAGTATAATGGCTTCCAGCTCCATCTATGTCCCTGCAAAGGACATGATCTCATTCCTTTTTTGGCTGCATAGTATTTCATGGTGTATATGTACCACATTTTCTTTATCCAGATATATTTACATATTTTTCTTTACAATCAACTATATCTTGGTAAAATTAAACTATCAGAGAAATATTCTAAGTGTTAAATAAATTAATATAAATATGTAAAATATATGTATTTTAATAGCATACTAATAATTTAGTGGATAATAATATAAAACATGCAATTCCAATTGCTGGGGTTGATGAAAGAAATAAATATAGAAAGACTCATACTTATTCAAACATTTTAATTTGTTTAGTTAGGTTTTCCCCTCTACATAGGAGAACAAAATTTTGGTGGTTGTTGTTTTCCTTAAACTTTCATTTTAGGTTCAGGGGTACATGTGCAGGTTTGTTATATAGGTAAACTCATGTCACAGGGTTTTTTGTACAGATTATTTAATCACCCAGATACTAAGCCTTGTACCCAAAAGTCTTTTTTTTTCTGCTCCTCTCCCTCCTCCCACACTCCACTCTCTTGTAGGCTTCTGTGTCTGTTGTTTCCATTTTTGTGTCCATATGTTCTCATCATTTAGCTCCCACTTATAAAGGAGATCCTGTGATATTTAGTTATCTGTTCCTGCATTAGTTTGCTAAGGATAATGGCCTCTAGCTGCATTCATGTTCCTGCAAAGTATATGATCTCCTTTTTTTTTTATATATATATATAGCTGCATAGCATTCCCTGGTGTATATGTACCACATTTTCTTTATCCAGTCTGCCACTGATGGACATTTGGGTTGATTCCATGTCTTTGCTATTGTGAATAGTGCTGCAATATACATATTCATACATATGTCTTTGTGGTAGAATGATTTATATTCCTTTGGGTACATACTCAATAATGGGATTGCTGGGTTTAATGGTAGTTCTGTTTTTAAGTCTTAGTGAAATTGTCACACTGCTTTCCACAGGTTGAACTAATTTACACTCCTACCAAAAGTGTATAAGTGTTCCTGTTTATCTGCAACCTAGCCAGCATCTATTATTTTTCAACTTTTTAATAACCATTCTGAGTCATGAAATATGGTACTTCATTGTGGTTTTGATTTGCATTTCTCTAATGATCAGTGACATTGAGATTTTTTTTTTCATATGCTTGTTGGCCACATGTATGTCTTCTTTTAAAGAGTGTCTGTTCATGTCCTTTGCCTACTTTTTAATTAGGTTGTTTGTTTTTTTCTTGTAAATTTGTTTAAGTCTCTTACAGATGCTGGATTTAGTCCTTTTTCTGATGCATAGTTTGCAAATATTTTCTCCCTTTCTGTAGGTTGCTTGTTTATACTCGTGATACTTTCTTTTGCATTGCAAAAGCTCTTAAGTTTAATTGGATGCCATTTGTCAATTTTTCCTTTTTTTGCACTTAATTTTGGTATCTTCATTATGAAATCTTTGCACATTCCTATGTCCAGAATGTTATTGCTCAGGTTGTCTTCCAGGGTTTTCAGTTTTAGGTCTTCCATTTAAGTCTTTAAATTGTTAAGTCTTCAGTTGATTTTTTTTTTATATGGTGTAAGGAAAGGGTCCAGTTTCAGCCTTCTGCATATGGCTAGCCAGTTATCTCATCACTATTTATTCAGTAGGGAGTCCTTTCCTCATTGCTTATTTTGTAAGCTTTGTCAAAGGTCAGTTGGTTTAGGTGTGGAACCTTATTTCTTGGCTCTCTATTCTGGAGAACTGAAACGTTTAGTAACAATTGCCTAGTCCCCCACCCTAACCACTAAATTTATCACATGCCTTTTCAACATAAGGTCAATGAAGGAATTATGAGAACTTTGATATCAATAGCATTGTGTGTATATATATATATATATATATATATATATATATGTATATATATATATATGTATATATATATATATATCTCCTCTCTGAGCTTATACACTATGCTGTTAAGATTTAGTAGCATGCAAATCTACATTACCAGTACATATTCATGAATGATTGCCTTTTTCCCTGTTCCACTATAATTGTTATGCTCTTCTCATTTGCTTTCACGTGTACTTTTACATTATTTCTTTTAAAAATTATTGTGGCTTCCACAAGTCGCAATTTTGAAATGTCTTTGAAACTGTGTTTCTAGAGAGTCCTGGGATCCATTTAGTTTAAATGACAGAATTTAAAGTGTGACTTATGAGGCCACAGTGGTTTTCTTGTGAACTCAGTTATTGAATAAGTTCTGCTCAACTTGCCACTGTTTATCTAAAAAAAAATATTGAGGGAACAAGGGAGAGAAAAAGGATTCTTGAAACAGTGATTACAAAAATATATGAAGCAGGATTATAAGTGATTTTTCTTAAAGGAATATCCATTGTCGGCAGGCATGGTGGCTCACACTTGTAATCCCAGCACTTTGGGAGGCCAAGGCAGGCGGATCACCTGAAGTCGGGAGTTCAAGACCAACCTGACCAACATGGAGAAACCCTGTCTCTGCTAAAAATACAAAATTAGCCAGGCATGGTGGCACATGCCTGTAATCCCAGCTACTCAGGAGGCTGAGACAGGAGAAACGTTTGAACCCGAGAGGCGGAGGTTGCAGTGAGCCGAGATCGCACCATTTCACTCCAGCCTGGGCAACAAGAGTGAAACTCCGTCTCAAAAAAAAAAAAAGAAAGAAAGAAAGAAAGAAATATCCATTGTCTAATAAAAGTACTAAACACAAACAACTAGAATATTCAGAAATTCTTCAGCCAACAGATCTGCAAGAGGCTAATGTGAACCACTGACCTAGTGAGTGGGAAATGATTAAAGTGTGGAACCCCCATGGCTGCTGCCCTCATGGAGCTTATTATCTAATGCAGGGGATAAACATTTATAAATAGTAGGTAGCAAAATACATGCATAATAACAGATTGTGACAATTGCTCTAAACCAAAATTATGGGGTATTAGAAATGTATACATCAAGGAAACTAAAAAGCAAATCTCGGAAGTCAACGACCCAGTCCCAGTAAGTGATCTTGAAACTATGTTCCCATAAATACTTAAGAAAGAACGAGAAGACCTCCTGAGAAGAGCTTTCAGACAGAAGGTTCTGAGTTTCAAAGGAGGAAAAGCAATCTAGATGGCAGGTTTGAAGCTGGAGGGTCGGTAAGATGAGGCTGAGAAAGTCTGAAGGGGCTAGAAAATGTAGGTAAGTACCTCTGTGTTTATAGCAAGAAAACTAGCCATAGAAATGGCTTTTAGCAGGTGGTTCGCAGTCAGATTTGCATTTAAAAATATCACTGACTAGAGTATGTAGATTAGATTAGCAGGGACAAAAAGGGCATGAATCTTGAACAAAGATGTTGAGTTATTATGAATAACTGAAATTAGAATGCTGAAATTTACAGAAATTATTTCTGGATTTCTAAGCTGAGCATATGTAATAAATTTAAAATAAACATTTTATTCACTAAGACAAATAGGGTTATAGATAGAATATTTTCATTCATATGGAATAGTTTATCACTATTGAATTTAGAGAATATTACGATTTTTAAGGAGATTAATCTATGTAGTAGTGGGCTAAAACCTTTGAGAACATAACTGAAATTGAGAATTAATGCTAACATGATTAAATGTACAAAGTAAGCCATGATGTGGGGAAATTATATTTACCACTTTAGGAATGAAAAGCAAAGATAACATAATGTAATAGAATTTATTTTAAAAGTAGTCAAGAGAAAGTTTCCCACAGAACTTTTTAATAAAATATTTCAAAACATATGCAAGAAGAGAAAAGAATGAAATGAACTCCTATCTGTTCTTTTTAGTTTTATAAATGGAATTCTAATAGATTAACAAAATGCATCGTTGTCAGTGCCATCTTTCAAGAATAATTTATTAAGTGTTTTAATTTTAAATAATATACAATGCATTTGCTCATTTAAATAAGGATCTGTAGATGAGCTTATTATAGCATGAAAGCATGCACAAGCTCTACTCTACTCTCAGCCCTGGGTCACATATTTGTAAAACAGTTACATAAACTCAATTCAGCGTAATACGTGTTATTGAGCAACTGCTGTATGCTAGGTACTGCTTTATGTGCTGCAGCAGAAGAAAGGTAACACAGATACACTCAGATGTTTCAAATGCCATTGAGGAGAACAAAAATACATGCTATTAAATCAAATTATGAAATAATTAGAAACAACCAAATTTATTCACCTTTTTTGGGGACAACAAATGTTAACCTAGTCAAACATGCTAATTTAAAGCCTTGAGAAAAATAATAAGCTATGCAGCCAGTACAACTATATAGATTGATATTTCTTAACCTTGAAATATGTCAACAAAATATGTCAACCATATACTTCCAATGAAAAATACAATTTGTGTGTAAAATGATCGGTAAATATGATCCCATTATAATAAAAAGAACAGCAAAGACATGATGAAAACATGCATGGATGTTTGCCAGAATAGTATATGATAACGATCTCTGAGTGATAAGCTTAGAGACGGTTTTCATATTTTTATTGTGTTTTTACAACATATTGTTATATAATGTTGACTTTTTTTGCAATAAGCAAATATCACATTTAAAATAAAATTAGGTTCTATTTTTATACACCGTGAAATACTAGAAAAGCAATGAGAAATCTTTCTTTTATCTACCGAAGTCAGTACGTTTATTTTGTGACCAATATGGTCTAGACTGTGTCTGTTCAAGATATATAAGAATGGGTTATTTGCCTAAGAATACACTTAAGTCATAGTGTTAATGAGAATCCGAGAAAGAGGGTAGGGGAGGAAGTGTAATGCCAACAAGAGGAAGAAAAAGGAAAGGCATAGAAGTTGGAGCTAACAGAGGAGAAAAATGAAAAGAAAAAGAGTAACAGAGAGAGGAAAGAGAGCAGGAGGAGGAGGAAACATAAGCAACCTATTCCAGATCAGGTGCTAAAAACCCCATACTCACCAGCCTGACAATAGAAGTGATGACCCAGTGAACCCAGCCACCTCTCTCCTGCTGCCTCCTATTTTTCCTGATAAAATTAAAGGTCAAGTAAAGTTTCTTGTGGTTGATACTGTTACCTTTCCTTCTATTTAAAATTTATGTCATAAGACAATCATCACCAAAGAGCCTGTGGATCCTAATTGCTATAATTGAACATCTCTTTGAATAGGTTTGCCAAAGTTTGAAGATTGTCTAGTAGCATTGCCAGTCTTTTCTCCCTGGGCATACAGCTAGCCTCTAATTTCGAGCTGCTTTGGCATCCCTGTAGAGCTTTGTATTAGTAAGAGTTCTCTAAAGGGACAGAACTAATATGATATATAGATACATATAAAACTGAGGAACTTGGAGTCCTATGTTCAAGGGCTGGGAACATCCAGCACCAGAGAAAGATGTAGGCTGGGAGGCTAGGCCAGTCTAGTCTTCACATTTTTCTGCCTGCTTTATATTCTAGCCTCACTGGCAGCTGATTAGATGGTGCCCACCCAGAATAAGGGTGGGTCTGCCTTTCCCAGCCCACTGACTCAAATGTTAATCTCCTTTGGCAACACCCTCACAGATACACCTAGGATCAACACTTTGCATCCTTCAGTCCAATCAAGTTCACACTCAGTATTAACCATTACAAGCTATATGATTATTTTCCATCAAGTGAATGTGAGTAGAAGTTATGTATTACCTCAATTCCAGAGCAGTTTAAGAGGAAAAGCCTTCATCTTTTTCCCCCAACAACCCTTTCTCCCCACCTAGTCAGCCATCTGCATAATTCAGGGCTGACCTGAATGTTTTCTGAGGAACACAGAAGGACCACTGCAAGACGCAGTTTTACATGCATGCTCAAATGACTCCATCAAGTCAAGCCTCTCTGGGACTTCACCGATCTGGGTCAGGTTAGAACAACTGTGCTAAGTCACCAGGTGTTGAGGATGTACCTGCAATAAGGAATGTTACCCTAACCAATATGACTAGTTTTCAAAATAGTTCATATTTCTGATATCTGATATTTTTCTTGTATTTAATGACAAAGAATTCCTTTAGCAGCATAAAATACAAATCAACCCTTGCCATTTCTCACTGATCAAGCTAATTATTTTTTCTTGATACGACTTGCTTCTAATGACTGCATAGTTAAAAGAAAGTGGACATAATAGTTTTAGTTGTTATAACCTTTGTAGCCTTTTCACGGATCAAATCATTCTTTCCACAGTTACTTTCTTATTCTTTCATAAGGTTACAATAGATCTGTGAATTTGTACTTTCTGAGTCTTTAAGTAAATTCTGCACAAAGTCCTTACTTTTAATTTAATATAAGTAGGGTAAAATACTGAGTTGAATGTATTTGGAAAATATTTAAATACAGTTTTTGCTTTATATAATTTTACAAGACAGATGTGGCCTATAAATTGTCTTCTTGCTCCATGTGGTTATTTTAATTCAGTGATTTAAATGGTGACTTGGAAGTTCTTTAGTTTAGAAGGACCCTATCTCTGCTAGCTAAAAATTAGCCCATCTTATTTTGCAGAAACAAATTAACTTTTCAGCCTAGGAGGTGCTTGTAAGTTAATTTGCAAAATGTTTGCACAGCCCTAGAAAAATATCGATATATATTAAAAACCAACAGAAATGTTTTTTCTCTGATATTATAACAGAGAATTATTCTAAGTAATTCCTTTTAGAAAAATAAGCTTATTTTTGTGTTTCACTTTTTGAATTTTGGGTTTCTCTCCATTTCTTATTTTAATACAGAAACATTTATAAATTTTTTAAAGATGCAGATGATGAATAATATTTGACTTGTGAGGCACATCAAGTAATTTAACATGAGGTTGTTTTCCTCTATGGTTTCATTTGCTGAAACATATTAAAAATGCAGTAGTAACAGTTTCAAAATTCTGTTAATACTGACGCAATTTTCCTACAGAGGGCAGTACTGGTGGAAGTACACACTGGGCATAATATAGATAGCCCATCTGCTAAGATCTAAGCCTTATTATCATGGCATCCAGTAAGAGACTGCTGGGAAAATGGGAGAACCAAAGAATTTTGTTTACATTTAGTTCCTTTCTATATGAATCCATTTGAGAACATACCATTAACTTGAAAATATGAGTATATAACATTCAATGCAAACAACTCGCAATATTTATAGCTATTCTTTTTTTTCTCTTCTCATGAGTTGTGATGGTTAATTTTATGTGTCAAATTAACTGGTCCACAGGGAGTCTGGACATTTCGTCAAACATTATTCTAGGTGTGTCTGTGAGGGTGTGTCTGGAGGAGATTCATGTTTGAGTTGGTAGACTGAGCATGGCAGATTACCATCCTGATATGGTTCGGCCATGTCCCCACTCAAATCTCATCTTGAATTCCCATGTGTTGTTGGAGGGACCCAGTGGGAGATAATTGAATCATGGGGGTGGTTTCCCCCATACTGATCTCAGGGTAGTGAATAAGTCTCATGAAATCTGATGGTTTGACAAAGGGAAACCCATTTTGCTTGGCTCTCATTCTCTCTTTGCTGCTGCCATCCATGTAAGTCGTGACTTGCTCCTCTTTGCCTTCCACCATGATTGTGAGGTTTCCCCAGCCACGTGGAACTATAAGTCCAATTAAACCTCTTTCTTTTGTAAATTGACCAGTCTTCGGTATGTCTTTATCAGCAGCACGAGAAAAGACTAACACACCTCCTTAATGTGAGTGGACTTCCTCTGATCATTTGAAGGTGTGATTAGAACAAAAAGGATGACTCTTTCTCAGTTAAAAGCAAGTAAATGGAACTCCTCCTGTCTGAATGTTTGAGCTCAGATACTATTTGTTGCATTTGACATTGGACTTGAATTAAAACATGGGTGCTTCTCGGAGCTCAAGACTACTGGCTTTCAAACTGGAACTAACACCATCAGATCTCCTGGGTCTCCAGCTTGTCAACTGCAGACTTTGGGACTTCTCAGCCTCGACAATCACATAAGTCAATTTCTTAAAATAAATCTCTCTTTCTTTTTATCTATCTATGTATCTATCCATCTCTATCTAGCCACCCTTCTTCTTGGTTCTGTTTCTCTGGAAATCGTGACTAAAAACATCATTGTTTCTCATTTTCAACAATATTTTCCTTTCCACTGCTAGCTAATTAAAGATAAACTAAGTAGCTTCTTTTCAGTTCTAATTAAGAAAAAAAAAAACATGAAATACCCAGAGCAGGTGTGAGAGTAAACTTCTTCAATAATTAGTGTAAATAGAGTTTCTTTCTTTCTTTCTTTCTTTTTTTTTTTGTTCTAAAGTAATAAGTGTCCTGCTTTTCTCACACACCAGGTGGCAAAATGGTGAGTGGAAAATGTGTAAGAACAGTGGGGGTATGCAGACACTAATAATACCTTCCCCTACGTTGTAATTTGCAGTTCTCAAAGCATTTCCATGTAGATTTGAGTCATACAAAATAACCAGAGGGTGGGGATATTTTTACCCTTCACGGATGAGACCATGGAGGCACTGCAGAGAAAAAGTTAAGTGGCAGAACAAAAATTTCTACTTGTATTTTCAGGCAATAAGTCATGTGTTCTTGCAATTGAATGACTGCTTATGGACACAGCTGCATTAATTATTACTTTCAAGAGGGAGTTGACAGTCACTCAAAAGGGAAAGGACAGGTAAGACCTAGTGGATATCTTCTCCAGAAGGCAGAAGCCATAGTCTAAACTTAAATAAACTAGTAGCAATATAAAAAATGTATAGTAGAGTGAGTTTTAAGTCATCGTGAAGAGGTAAATAATTTATGTACGTTAGAGGAAAGTGAATTTTTAATTATAGTAAAGACAAAATAATAATATTAAGAAAAACATTGGCAACAGCCTACATTTACTGAGCACATACTAAATATGAAGAAGCTTCCATGAATTTTTGCTGGTTCTAACAATAATTTTGCAAGAAAAATTTTATTACCTCACTTTAACATAGTTGAGAACACAGATTGAGAGATTAAAGAACTTCTTCAAACTTACCTGACATTAAGAATACATTATGTCAAAACCAGGGAGTGTTTCTAGAATTAAAGGAAGACAAACCACAGATATTTTTCAGAAGTTTGGGATTATTAAGTAAACTGCGAAGTACTTAGTTTGTTTTCACTTATTATCAATGTAGTTGTTAGAGCTTACAAACGGAAAAGCAAAAACTGACTAAATTGTGTACTACTGTCACCAGTAGGTTACAATTTTATTCTCCAGAAGCAGATCTTGAAACAGGGACTGATATAGAAGTTATTTACTGGGAAGAACTGCCAGTGGGATTACAATTGGTCAGGGAGACAAGACATGGGACTGGTAAGGGAATAAACCAAGGGAGTCAAGCAAAGCCACACCAAGTAAAAGTTTGATGCAATCTCACAAACTTTGGAGATTTGGAGACAATGCAGGTCATATCTCAAAATTCTTTGAATCAGGGCCCATTTTTATCCCTGTAGCTCTCAATAATTGGCTAAAGGTGAAGACAGACAGGCAGGGTCTCCATTTCTCTTTGATTGAGCACCAATAGGTTCTGGCAGCCTGAGGGCAGCCCTCTGTAAAACAAATGTAGGAGCTGGCTGTTGGAGGGAAAAGTCACTAGAAGCAATGCTGGTGTACATAGACATGTGTAGGAAGACCCCCTGAAACTATTGCTATGGAATAAAATATGAAATGCTCCTGATTATTGTAAATACAAAATTGAATGCAGGATTGTGTAAAGACAATGCCAGGTTGGACTGCCAGAATGCGCCAACAGTGCATGATGTGATTCCCCCTGCAGAGAGCCTATGAATGGACATGCAGTCAGGGAGGTTTCACATCACCAAGATTCCTATTCCAGAAAAGCAGATGTTCATAGCTCTGGGAATGGAATGCCACCCTTGTGGAGAGCCTATGAATGGACTCATGGCGGGGGCACCTGTCCATATGGATAAGATAGGGCTATAAACACCCTCATCTTGCCACAGCTCTTCTAGGTCTCTTTAGGTTTAAGGCATACTCCCTTCTGAGAATTTCTAGTCTAACCAGTTGTCTAGCTTCATGTACTGTTTCTATGGATTGTTTGTAACCAGCTTTTGCTGCAACTGTTACTGCTGATTAATATCTTGCTAATCGTAGGTTATTGAAAGATTGTGTTTCTGTTTTAAGGCTCTGTTAGAAATTACTGATGCACACACTAAATTGTAAATTCTTATCTCTGTATAGTGTACTTCTACATACAAATGTACCGTACTTCTACACACAAATGTTATGTTAAAGAATTACTTCATCCCCATGTGACCATCTTACCTCATAATCAAATGAACCTAAATCCCTCACTAACCTACCCCTGCCCTCACTAAACTTAATAGTAAGTGCTGGTATATCCAGTGCATTGTTGGCACCATGGGGCCAGAAGGCAGTGACCCCCCTGGACCCAGCTTTCACTATCTTGTGTCTATTATTTCTCAACCTGCCGATCCACCTAGGAACAAAGAGAGAGCTCCGTTGCATTGCGGGCTGCTGGCCAGATCCCGCGATAGACATGAAAAAAATTAACTGTGGGGATATAGACGGATCATTGATATAACTATTACACTGATTATTCACCAATGCGTTATATGAAACCAGTGAGCTTCTCCATACTCTCTTCTGTTTCCTTCACTCATGCTGTACTTTTGCTTCTCTATTCATGGATCACTGATCTTTGACGACAGATATCTAAGATAAAGGAAGGAACTTCTCCTGGTACATCTTAAATTCCACAAGGTGCACACTTCCTTACACAAATGTAGACTTCTAGAGAGTTTCTCCAACCAATGTGGCTCAACTCATATGAAATCAAAAGTGTGCTGAACTCTTACAGGAATACTAGTATTCATACATTTCAGTTGCTCCTCCCATATTTTTGGGGGCTTGGCTATGTGATTTTCTTTAATCAATGTGACATCCACAAATAGAATGCACAGAATCTTGAAGAGCAATTGTATATTTGGGAATGCCCTCTTAAAAGAACTCCTCTTGGCATCCAGCTTGCAGGAAATATCTAATCCCAGGATATCTTGCTGCAGAGAGGAGGATGCACTAATAGGCCTTTTGGGAGGAGACCCTACTTAGAATGAGAGATCTCATGAAGGAGAAGTAATGTGCCCCAACTGAGTTCTCAACTGAGGCAACCACTCCAGTGAGCCCTGGTAATACCTCAAGGCCCAAAATAATTTCCCAGATGATCCCCTGAATCATAGGAAATAAGAAATTAGTCTTGCTTCGAACTGCTGAATTTAGTGAGGTTTGATACGCAGTAACATAGATACAGTTTTTGACCTGTGGAAATGGCAGCTTCATGGTATTCAAGTGAACAACACCAATAATAATAATTACACTGCTTCCTATTGACAATACTATCAGTTATCCAGGGCCTGCTTGCGTTAAAGCATTATGTTTGTGTCTTCTCATATTAAATTTTCAAATAAGCATGCTATCAGGCAGTGTCAATGCCTAATCATAAGGCTGAAAAATATCGAGCCTCAGTGGTTTGATGTTACATGTTTAAAGCCACATAGTAACTTGCAAAGTCATAATCTGAATCCATGTTTTCTTGGCTTCAAAGTGTATTCTTTCCTCGCTCTGTCTCAAACTGCACTTTTATATAAGGATCCCTAAGTATGGCAACATAAATTGCTGTTAGGCCTGTGAAATTGCCAGAACAAAGAAAATGTGCATGGATTATCTATCTTTACAAATCTGTCTTTGAAAATTATTTAAATCTGGGAAGAAAAATTTGAACTGGCGAAAGTGGCATTTCACTCCTTCCAAATACTGTCTTATGTTAAGGGATAATAGCAAAACCAAGAGAACATTATTGATTTTTATACAGTTTCGATAACTTGTTTTTTTTTGCTTTCATATCACTTCAACTTCACTTGTAAATTGGGCACCTAAAAATTTATCATTTCCTCAGGTTGAGGGTTTGAATGTCCCCAAAATTTATGTTAAAACTTAATCCTCAGCCGCGTGCAATGGCTCATGCCTACAATTGCAGAACTTTGGGAGCCTCAAGTGGGCAGATCACCTGAGGTGAGGAGTTTGAGACCAGCCTGACCAAAATGGAGAAACCCCGTCTCTACTAAAAATACAAAATTGGCTGGGTATGGTGGTGCATGCCTATAATCCCAGCTACTCAAGAGACTGAGGCAGGAAAATTGCATGAACCCACAAGGCAGAGGTTGCAGTGAGCCAAGATCATGCCATTGTACTCCAGCCTGGGCAACAAGAGCTAAATCTCAAAAAAAAAAAAAAAAAAAAAAAAAGATGGGGCATTTTGAGAAGGGATTAAGTTATGAGGGGGTCCAACCTCATTAATCCATTCTTGTTTTATAAAATGGCTAGAGGTAGGGCTTTTTGCTTCTCTGCCTTCTGCCATCTGAGGACTTAGCAAGAAGGCCCTCATCAGATACCAAATCCTAGTGGCTTGACCTTGGACTCTAGATTCTATAGCTATAGAATTGCGAGGGAAAAAAAAAATCTCTTCTTTGTACATTAACCAGTCTTAAGTATTTTGTTATAGTAGCAAAAACAGCCCAAGATCTCTATACTCAAGGTCTCTATATCGAATGGGATGTATATATAATGGGATAGTTTAACCTGAAGGGTATAGGTTCTGGAACCCTGTTGCCTAAGGCTAATCCTTGATCTTTCTTATATTAGTTCTCCCTCTGGGTCCTCAGTTTGGTCATCAGTAAGATGAAGATAATTACAGCATCTACTTCATTATAATGGACCTTAACTACAACTAACATCATCCATTGTGGATATTAAAACAGTTGCTATATGTAAAGGGCTCAGAATAGTGTCTAGCATAGAGCTAATTCTAAGTGTTAGCTATCATTACTATTGTTGTTATTGTTATTATTGGGATAAATTTATTTTTAGAAATCAAAATAACCTTAGATTCATGTACACAGAACCGCTTTTTAAAATTCCCTCAGTAGTTTAGTTCCAAGATAATTATTCCGTGTAATGTGTATAACAGATTTACCAGAATAATGGGCTATTTCATTTAGAAAAATGACTTTAATAATAATTCAACTTGACTAATAAAATTTTAATAAATTACACATTTATATGTATATTTTCTCTTACCATTTTATCTTAGTCATGGCTAGAATAGGCAACGATATTCTCCAAATACAGGAGAAATAAAAAATATAGCAGAAAAAAAGAAGAAAAAACAAAGCAATTCAATGAAAAAATAAATCTGTAGCTTTTGATGACATTGCACCATCATCTACCATAAGTAGTTATTTTATGATTTGTATATTCAAAATCTTTTTGTTTATCTTTAATATAGCATTTAGCACATTTCACATGGATTCACTTGCATATAGTTTTCTGTTTAACTAGACTTTTAGCTCCTAGGATCCAGAGACTGTGTACTCAATGCTGTTACTCTTGTACCAAGCAGACTGTTTTGCATTAAATGTCAGCTCAGTAACTATGCACCAAAGAAATGAGCAAATAAACTGTAAGACAAGTTATTCATTCCTCATTAGATATATGGTTCTTTTGAGTAATATTGATTTTATCTAATGAATCTTCCTCAAAATTTATAATTTCAATTATTTTTATGGTAGGTAATGAAAGAATGACTTACACGAAAATATGTACACTAAATTCTAAGCATTTTCTTGCTTGAGTGACATTTAGAAACATCAGTGTTCTTAAATCCTTGGGAACAAATGAGACAGAACTCCAGGGCACTGAAATAGTGTAATGCTATGAAAGTTATTGACTTTCAAAAATATTTTCACCTGAGGAATGACTAATCTAGTGACATAAATCTTCAAAAATCATATGAACAAAATTTCCCTAATTATAGATGAGGGCTTTAATAAATATATTTTAAGGCACAGGCACTGACATCCGAGGTAAAACAAAAAAATAATTTGTTACGATTTGATTATTTGCCTGTACCCAAATCAGCAGCAGTACTATTCTTAATCTAAGAAATCTCCCTGGTGTGAATGATAAAATCAAATACAAGTCTTATTCACTGTAACTTTCTCTTACAATGCAGCTCTGAAAATCTCTCCTATTTTGTTTTATTTTTGTACTCCTTTTCAACAATCACAAAAAGAAAACGATGACTCTTTTCTAATACAAGGTTAAGGCAGCTAAAACTGTCATTCTGCCTCTGCATATCACTGTTTCTGTGATAAGAAATAATGAAAATGACTATAAGGTTATGTGTCTGGCTTGCTGTAATTTTCCAAGCAACTCACACCACAGGGTGATTCTGTTAGGGTTGAACTGAAGTTAAATATACAGCAAGCACTGTGTATTGTTTTATGTCTTCATAATTAGTTGGTCTATTGAAGATATTTTACATTTTTCCTTTCCCATTGTTGAAGGCAATCAAAGAAATACATTCTCCTTGGAAATCACAAGATCAGAAAATGAATGTGAATATGAGAAAAAGGGACTGTGTGTTCTAATGCAAGAGGCACTGTCTAGGACCAGGATTCCTTTCCAATTCTTAACTAGGTGTATAATCTCCTACAACTTATTTAGGCATGCTAGTCCTCAGTTACCTTATTAAAATAAGCCTTCCTTGCCTGAAAGCAAAGAAGTAGACTTCAGACCTCAGGGTCACCATCATATCCAAACTACCAATTGAGTTAGTTACAACATTCACATTTATCTTACTCCATCATTAGTGTATTTGCTATATTTCCGTCTCAGTTTGATCTCTCAAGAAATACTAAAAAATTTCCAATAAATAGCAACTCTAGTCATCAATATCTCAGTCCCTAAATCTTGGAGTGATTTTGGATTCTTCTCTTCATCTCACATGCCATATCAAATTCAATAGGAAATCCTGTCAACAATATGTTCAAAGTACATACTTTATCAGATCACCTTCTAGCAGCCTCACTGCCAACATCTTCATCCACAGTCCACTATATATTAGCCTGCAGTAGTACGGTAGCATCCTACGTGATCAATCTGTATGCAGCCTTCCCCCTGGGCTCCCAGTATATTTACAACACAGCACTCACAAAAATTACTTTGGGACACAACTTATATTATGCCACTCTTGTTCAATGCACTCCGTTGCCTGCCCATGTCACTCAGAATAAAGTCCTTAGACTGTATGGTGACTACTAAACCTGGCATACCTTGGTCACTCTTAGTTCTTTGACTTTATCTTATAAAGCAAACCCAAGCCTGTTCACCTCACTGGACCCCCTACTGGTTCTCACATAGCCAAATTCTTCTCTGAGGATATTTCCTCTTACAATTCCTTCTGTAGATATCTTCAGAGCTCACTCTTTAACTTCCTTAAGGTCTCTGCTTAAATATTACTCCATCTAAGAAGATACCTCCTGTGACTTAACGTAAAATAGAACAATGGCCACCATACTTCTCTACCTTATATGGCATTTTAAAATGACATGCATCACATTACATATTCCATACACACAACTTTATTTTCTGACACTATCCCCCTTCCCACTAGATTCTAAGTCCCATGCTAGTACTAAATTTATCTATTTTTTTTTCCCGTGTGATGCATAGTGTCTGGAAGAGTACCATATACCAAGTTGGCACGCAAGAAATACTTTCTGAAGAAGAGAATGAATGAAGTAATGAGAAGTGAAGGGGAGAAGAGGAAAATGGTAGAGGCAATAAAAATAGAAATGAAAAGGAAACAGAAAGGAATGAAGACTCATCTGTTGAATTCTTGCACTGATAAATGGTGTTCAGAAAACTGAATATATGCAAGCAAATAAAAATTGAATAAAATTAGAACCTTAAAGCATAAACAAAATTTAATTAAAACTTGATCAAAGACCTTAATATAAGCCCTAAAACTACAAGACAATTAGTAGAAAACATGGGAAACATTGTCATGGCATTGGATTTGGCAATGATTTTTTGGATATGATATCACAACAACACAAGAAAAAATAAAGAAGTTAGAATTTATCAATATTATTGGTTTTTGTGCACTATCAACAGAATGAAAAAGGAATCCACAGAGTGGAAGGAAATATTTGCAAATCCCATATCTGGCAAGGGAGTAGTATCCAGAATATATAAGAAACTCCTACAAATCAGCAACAAGAACAACAATGAGAACAACAACAAAAAATGAACAATCCAATTAAGAAATAAATCAAGGACGTGAATAGATATTTTTTAAAGAAGATACAAAAATGGCCAATAAACACATGGAAAGTTCTTCAATGTCACCAATCATTAGGGAAATAATAACCATGAAGAGATACCACATATTACCCGCTAGAATGACTGAGAATCATTAGAAAAAAAGAAAATAATATGTTGGCATTTTGTTGAAATGTTAGATCCCTTGTACATTGCTGGTTGAAGTATTAATGATGTAGTCACTTTGGAAAATGATATAGCAATTCCTTAAAAAAATGTAGAATTATCTATCCTCCAGAAATTCTTCCAGGTATATATTCCAGAGAAATAGAAACAAGTACTTAAACAGATATTTGTAAATCCATGGTTATAGCAGCATTATTCACAATAACCAGAAAGTGGAAGCAAACCAAGTGTCCATCAATAGAAAAATGGATAAACAAAATGTGGTGTATATGTACAAGGCACTATTACCCAGCCTTAAAAAGTAAGGAAATTCTGACACAAGTTATAATATGGATAAACCTTGAAGACACGTTAAGTGAAAGAAGCCAGTCACAAAAATATAAATACGGTATGATTTTAATTATAAGGAACTTAAAGTAGTCAAATTCAGAGAGACAAGAACAGAATGAGGATGCCAGGGGCTGGAGAAGGGAATAGGGAATTAATGTTTAATGTGTACAGAGTTTCATTTGGACAAGATGAATGAGTTCTGGTGATGGAGATTGGTGATAGCTTCATAACAGGGTAAATGTACATATGGCCATAGATAAAAATGGCTAAAATGGTAAATTTTGTATTATGTATATTTTACAAGAATAAGAATAAACTATAATATTAGGCAAAAAAATGTGTTAGCAACCTGTGTACGTTATCTAATATTTAGATAACCATGGAATGTACTATAAAATTTCTTCCTTTTGTAGAAGACAAATGGGACCAAGACATCATTTTCACAAGATCCCATGTAAATTATGAAAGGCTGATTTCAAACTAAATGTACCTGGGCTCCAAATTTTACAATCTGTATTTTTTCCCTGTATAAAATAAAGAAGGAAATACATAAAATAAATTTCCTGCTTGCAGCTGTCAAATACATGTTGGCTCCTATGTGATTTTTAAAGCGATACAAGAAGCATTATCTTGTTTGCTAATTTTGAGCTATTCTCCAAAAATGTTATATAATTTGTTATAATAAATCTTGAAAATATATGTAATCAAGAATCTGAGCAGTTGATATTTTAGAGTATTATGCTTTATTTTATATTAACACCAAATTTTAATCATTATCAGTTTTATGAATTGTTTGCATATAAAAGGAATGTATCTGCACATATTAGGGTAGATTTTTAGCTTCTTAAAAATTAATATTTAAAAGACTAATATGCTTTATAAAAATAACCAATATTCCAAAGCTTATTTGAACATATAAATATATATTAAAATTAGAATACAGAATTTCTATTCCTAAAAATTGCCAACTGAATAAAGAAGATATGCCAAGGATTAATCTTCTGTGAACCAAATAATTAACTTGCAATAAAATAAGAATGCATTGCAGAGACATGCCACATATTGATGTAACTAACAAATATTCATACTATTTACTTTTGTTTATAGTACTTTATTACACGTATTATGCCTTAACTTTATAATTAAAACATTTTAAATCATATATACAATTTTTTAAAGCCCCATTTAATTAAATAATGTAATTATTTTTGGTTAAAGAGAATTCTAAATTTTAAGCATGGTAATGAATTAAGAAACCTCATGTTGAAGCTATAGTTCAAAAGACTGAAACATCTAATTCAAATCCAATCAGCCAAATAAATGTTAGAGCATGACTCACATATTATAAATGTCTTTATTCTACTGGTCACTCCCAATTACTGATGCAAATCAGTCTCACTCTGAATCTACATTTATCCATACCCACATTGGTACCATGGTTGACCATTTTCATCATCAGCAGCATCATTATTATAATTGTTGTCATCATCATCATCATTATCTTCATCATTATCATTTTCAAAATGAACCACTTACCTTGTGTCAAGAACTGTGCTAAGTACTTTATGTACTCCTATGAGAAAGGAATTATTATTCCTTTTTTGCTGTCACAGGGAGTTTAAATAGCTTGTTTAAAATTAGGCAGATGGTAAATAGTGGGACTGACATTTTAAATCCAGTTCTCACTGACTTATTGCAATGTCCCCCTCAAAAGCTTCCATTCACTCATTTTCTTGCACGAGTTTGATCCAAGCACAAAACCATCTGTAATCTAGGCTTTTGCAGCCATTTTCTTTATTTGCTATTCTTATTGTGGCAAAAAAAAAAAGTCCCTTAACTTATTTTCTAGGCAAAAAAAAAAAAAAATCCACTCTCTCCAAAGGATATATACTTTCCATTTTGAACAGGTAATATTTTGATGAGAGTTGTTAGTCACCTTCTTTCCACCTCTTTTGAGGCACTGATCCACATGACTTCTTTCCTGAGTCCAGCTGTTTGATTTTACTGGTGTCATTTTTAGTTTTGAGCATGGCAATCCCCCAGATTAATATCTAACTGCAGGCAAGTATTATTCAGCCTGTTGCAATGCCTTTCATCGCTACTCCACCTAAAGAGCTATGGAAGAATATCACAAACATTTTTCTAATTTTCAAGTCACTTTGCCTGTTTTTTATTTGACTTCTCACTTTTTTTTTGATCATTGGAGCTTAATGATAACCCTCTTCCTCTTCAGGTATACTTCTTCTTTACTTCCCTTAATATAGTCACTTTCCTGGTTTTCTGATATTTACTAATACCTCTGTCTTTTACAGCAACAATTTAGATGTGGATGGACAACATGTCTATCTATCCATCGTGTGCTTTTTCTTCAGGAATCTATCATGCATTTCCCCTAGCTTGGAAAGTTCTCTATAATGGAAGACATTCAAATGATAACAATAGTTAACTCTCTCTAATGCCACTCATCACTCTAAGTGATTTCATATATTACATAAAATTTTATGTATTATATAAATACACACATACAAACACACACACTTATTTAATCTTGAAACACCTCTATGAGGGAGATACTTATTATCCCCATGTTACAAATGACATAGCCAAAGGCTAGAGAGGATAAGTTATTGAACCAAGGTCAAAAAGCTAGCAGAGGCAGAACCAAGGAAGATTACGCACACGACAAATCAAGGAATGCCTGGTCCTAAGTCCAATTTATACTACCTCGCTTCACTCAAACCAACCATGTCCGGTGTTGAATTTTTTATCTTTCAGTCTTGGTTTCCTTTTTCATGAAATGTCAATTTTAGGTGTCAACTATGCCAGTTATTTATTTGTTGTCTCTGATCTCCAAGTCCATCTTCTATTCACTATTCTTTATTACTGAAGGTGGCCTGTGCAGATCTAATTTCTCAACATCCCCTTACCCTTTTAATTCTTGGTAGGCTTTGTCAAATGAAAGCCATGGACAAGGATTGAGATGCAGCAGATGAGCCATAGAGGAGACTTTAGATGTGGCACATGGGAAGAGGGTCTTCTTTTTGTAGAGCTTCTGCAGCAGCAGACCATAGGCTCCAGCCCCTAGCTTCTTCCAGTACTCTCTGGGTCTGCCTTCCTGAGTTAGCTCAGAGGCACCAGCAACAAGGCAGGGTGAGCTGTCCTCAGAGGTCCAAATACCAATAGTGCTGAGCTCTGCTCCAAAAGAATAAACACCAGCGTGTGGGCATCGTCCTCAAAATCCTAGATTCTGATTACTCTACTATTCTTCAGTTACATCAATCCTTGGAGTGAAAGCTGTTTCTTGGAACTACTCATTTCTGAGTCAGTTCAGTGTATGGTTTTTACACTGATGGCCACCAAACTCCATGTAATGAATGATCTGCTTTGATTCCCTCTAGCTTGATATATTTAATATAAAGTATTTTCTAATCCCCGATTGATACTCTTAACAGTGCAACAGCCTCAGAAACAACCTTCATTCCAGCTTCCCCCTCACTATATCAAGCACATCCATTCAAGTATACCTGGATGGTATTTTTTTAATCTATCCCACTACCTAATTTTTCCAGTTGCTGGCTCAGTTAATGCCATTTCTGATCAATCCCATAGATTGTATCGAGCCTCTAACTGGAGGTTTCCCAAAGCTATTGTTCAAGAACATGATCACACTTATTTCCGTATATGTAAATGAATAGAAAAATATTTGAGAAACCCGTAATTACCATTGACTCCTCCTAACCCACAGTATACATGTAAATCTTCTTAAAAGGGAATGAGAGACCTATTACCACCAGCTAAATCTGATACATTTCCTTCCTGCTCCATGCTCTAATCATATTGGCATTCTCTTTAAAATTCCCTTTTCCTATTTTTGGCATGCATGTATAATAATCCTTTATGATCTAAGAGAAAACTTCTACTAAAAAAGTGAAGGTTCAGGATGGCCTGTGGTTTCACAGCACCATATGTCTACCTTTGCACTTATTACTTTTGCATTTTCAACCCATATTTCACTACTGTCTATGGCAGTGAAGGCTCACATATTGTTCCACCTTTGAAAGCCTGCAGGTTTGTGGCACATTTTAAGTACTAAAATGTGCTCATTGAATAATTTAAGGATTTTTAATGATGTTTTTCTTTAGTAATCATGGGTAAAAAGCTGAAGAACAAAATGAGAAAAAGTTTGATATACCTGTTTGAGTTATACGCTCTGAAGTTTATATATTCCCCTTAAATAATTGCTCAAAATGAATAACCATTGATGGTGGAAAATGCCAAAACCTTATCCTATCAAAGACCTTTCTTTAAGTAATCCTGCTTCTCCTTCAGCTGGGGTTTTGACTACTTAAAGACCTTTATGCCGATAAAATGAATTTTTATTTCTGTCATTTTTTCCTCCTTTATTTCCTCTAAAAAAAAGATACATGTGCAGAACATGAATTTTTGTTACATTGGTATTTGTGTGCCATGGTGGTTTGCTGCACCTATTGAACTATCCTCTAAGTTCCCTCCCCTCACCCCCATCCCCCAACAGGCCCTGGTGTGTGTTGTTCTCCTCTCTGTGTCCATGTGTTCTCAACGTTCAACCCCCACTTATGAATGAGAACATGTGTTTGGTTTTCTGTTCATGTGTTAGTTTGTTGAGGCTGATGGTTTCCTGCTTCATCCATGTTCCTGAAAAAAACATGACCTCATTCATTTTTACTGTGCATAGTATTCCATGATATATATGTACCTCATTTTCTTTTTCCAGTCTATCATTGATGGACATTTGGGTTGGTTCCACGTCTCTGCTATTATAAATAGTGGCACTATAAACATATGTGTGCACATGTCTTTACAGTAGAATGATGTATATTCTTTTGGGTATATATCCAGTAATGGGATTGCTAGGTCAAATGGTATTTCCAGTTCTAGATCCTTGAGGAGGTGTCATATTGTCTTCCACAATGGTTGCACTAATTTACATTCCCACCAACAGTGTAAAAACGTTCCTATTTCTCCACAGCCTCATCAGCACCTATGGTTTCCTGACTTTTTAATAATTGCCGTTCTGATTGGCGTGAGATGGTATCTCATTGTGGTTTTGATTTGCATTTCTCTGATGATCAGTGATATTGAGCTTTTTTTCATTTGTTTCTTGGTCGCATAAATGTCTTCTTTTGAGAAGTGTTTGTTCATATCCTTTTCCCACTTTTCGACGTTTTTTTTTTTCTTGTAAATATGTTTAAGTTTTTGTAAATTCTGGATAATAGATCTTTGTCATATGGGTAGATTGCAAAATTTTCTCCCATTCTGTAGGTTCCCTGTTCACACTGATGACAGCTTATTTTGCTGTGCAGAAGCTCTTTAGTTTAATTAGATCCCCTTTGTCAATTTGGCTTTTGTTGCAATTGCTTTTGGCAGTTTGTCATGAAGTCTTTGCCAAATGCTTATGTCCTGAATGGTATTGCCTAGGTTTTCTTCTAGGGTTTTTATGGTTTTGGGTTTTACATTTAAGCCTTTAATGCATCTTTACTTAATTTTTGAATAAGGAGTAAGGAAGGGGTCCTGTTTCAGTTTTCTGCATATGGCTAGCCAGTTTTCCCAGCATCACTTAATGAATAGGAGATCCTTTCCCTATTGCCTGTTTTTGTCAGGTTTGTCAAATATTAGATGGTTGTAGACGTGTAGTGTTATTTCTGAGGTCTTTCTTCTGCTCCATTGGTCTATATGTCTGTTTTGGTACCAGCACCATGCTCTTTTGGTTACAGTAGCCTTGTAGTATAATTTGAGGTCAGGTAGCATGATGCCTCCAGCTTTATTCCTTTTGCTTAGCATTATCTTGGCTATACGAGGTCTTTTTTGATTCCATATGAAATTTAGAATAGTTTTTTCTAATTCTGTGAAGAATGTCAATGGTAGTTTGATGGGAATAGCATTGAATCTATAAATTACTTTGGGAGTGAAGTCATTTTCATGACATTAATTCTTCCTATCCATGAGGATGGAATGTTTTTCTATTTGTTTGTGTCCTCTCTTATTTCCTTGAGCAGTGGTTTGTAGTTCTCCTTGAAGAGGTCATTCACATCTGTTGTCAGCTGTATTCCTAAGTATTGTATTCTCTTTGTAGCAATTGTGAATGGGAGTTCATTCATGATTTGGCTCTCTGCTTGTCTATTGTTGGTGTGAAATAATTAACAAAATAGACCGCTAGTTAGAATAATAAAGAAGAGAGAATAATCAAATAAACACATTAAAAAATGATAAAGAGGATATCACCACTGAATCCACAGAAATACAAACTACCATGAGAGAATACCATAAACACCTCCATGTAAATAAACTAGAAAATCTAGAAGAAATGGACATATTCCTGGACACATACACCCCATCCAGACTAAACCAGGAAGAAGCTGAATCCCTGAATAGAACAATAACAAATTCTGAAAATGAGGCAGTAATTAATAGCCTACCACTAAAAAATGCCTAGGATCAAGCAGATTCACAGCTGAATTCTACCAGAAATACAAAGAGTAGCTGATACCAGTCCTTCTGAAACTATTCCAAACAATTTAAAAGGAGAGACTCCTCTAGACTTCCTACTCCCCAATTCATTTTATGAAGCCAACATCATCCTGATACAAAAATCGGGAAGAGACACAACAAAAAAAGAAAACTTAATGCCAATATCCCTGGATGAACACTGATGCCAAAATCCCCAATAAAATACTGGCAAACTGAATCCAGCAGCACATCAAAAAACTTATCCACCATGATCAAGTCAGCTTCATTCCTGGGATGCGAGGCTGGTTCAACATAAGCAAATTAATACATGTAATCCATCACATAAATAGAACCAAGTACAAGAACCACATGATTATCTCAACAAATGCAGAACAGGCCTTTGATAAATTCAACATGCCTTCATGTTAAAAACTCTCAATAAAGTAGGTACTAATGGAACATATCTCAAAATAATAAGAGCTATTTATGACAAACCCACAACCAATATCATACTGAATGAGCAAAAGCTGGAAGTCTTGTAACTTTGAACAATTGTACAAGACAAGGATGACCTCTCTCACCACTACTATTCAACTTTTCAATCCTATTCATAGTATTGGAAGTTCTGGCCAGGATAATCAGTTAAGAGAAAGAAATAAAGGGTATTCAAATAGGAAGACAGGAAGTCAAGCTGTCTCTTTTTACAGATGACATAATTTTATATTTAGAAAACCCCATCATCTCAGCCCCAAAACTCCTTGTGATAAGCAACTTCAGCAAAGTCTCAGGATACAAAATCAATGTGCAAAAATCAGAAGTATTTGTTTATCTTTATCTTTTTAGAGGCTGTTCTCTGTCTTGACTCGAACTGTGGGGTTATGCTAGACAACCTCATGGTAACTTAGCCAGAATGGTACTCTAAGCATGGAACACCATAGATAACTAAATCTACAAAAAAGACCTCACAACATTCATGTTTATATATGCTAATCAGAGTTGTTGATGAATCAAAAGCTGAGACACTCTGAACAGATATAAGGGCATAAATGGAGTCATGAATGTTCGTGGGTTGAGGCTCAAGAAGAATGAGTGAGCAGAAGTTATAAATGATATTTATTATATATGTAGATTTTCCACTTCTACTCTATCTATAACATTCTGAAACTTTGAAGTAATTTTTTTTTTTAAAAAGAATGGTTTTGCATCTTGACCATCTAGATGTAAGGAGAAATTTTCTGCAACACTTAACATTTCCCTGAATACTAGAGTTGATTCAGCTGATCTGGGTTGCTAAGGAGGGATTTTCTTCCTCCCTCGTTACCCTTACCTGTATTTCTTCTCCTAAGAGACCAAAAGGCAATTTCAGATTTGCATTTCATCACCATAACTTCAAGCTTGATTTGCTTTTTCCCTCTAGGTTTGTTATCCCTAGTTAAAATAGTCAGATTCTGTTTCAATTTTTTATTTTCATGAGGATGCTTTGAGGGTCTGCAGTTGGTCTGGTTAATAAATTAAATGGTGTGATTTTTAAACCACTATATTTTATAATGGAAAATATAAATATCCAACAGTATAACTGCAAAGCTAAAAGAAAAATCTAAAATAAGTAATATGCAGAAGCCTACAGATACCTCCATCTTATTCAAAAACAGTCAATTTTGTGTGTACCCAATTATCATCATAGACTTAAATTTGTATTTCATAAACAGGCTAGCATTCAGTGAACCAAGAAATTTACTCTTAATGTTATCCATTACTTACTGTTATATAAGATTTTGTTTTTTCATATTTAACCACATAAATTTATGTGCTATTTTAATGCATTCATATTATCCATATTTATTTGCATTATGTCTCTATAATGTCTAACCCAGCTAATATGGGTATTACTTTTGTTCTCTCAGTGATGAATTTGATTGTACGGTAATTGATTATAGCATGTTCTTACATTTACTTGCCTAAAAAGGTCTCAGAAACTACCTGTCAGATCACATATAATATTATTAAATAAAACCAGAGCCAACACAATAATTAAATGCAATTACAATTGATGGTAGAATTATTTTACTGCATAGATAAATTCATTGGTATATCTATGATTGAATATATCAAAATACTTTATTTTAGTAGGTTGTAGTCAATAAATATGCTATCCTTAAGAAAATTTATGTTTACTCTAAAAATTTAAGAAAGACAAAATATGATATACTTTTAGATTTTGATGGAGGATAATTATAAATATATAGATTGCAATTCAAATAATTTGACAAGTTAAATAGAATATATTCTCAAGGGATTTGTATACAAAATGCATCCTTAGATATTTAATTTGTAATTTATCATGGGGCTTTTGTAAATATTGAGACACTTTTACTTAATCACTTAATGGAAAGTGTGTAGATTTCCCATTCTTAAAAATGTATGGGACTCAAAAATTCCAATCACTTAACAAAATCAAAAGTAAGTTAGAACCAGATGATTATGGAGGAGTTAAAACCTTCTACAATACCTGCTTTACCACTGTGGGAGAGATTGAATATTTAGCATCCTTCCTGGAAGGTATGGACATCTGTTCATCTTCTAAGTCAATGACTGACAGATGACTGTACATCTGTTTGCATACAAAGTGAGAGACGGCAAGGCAGGGTGTTGTTTCTGCATTTTTTATTTGTTTGTTTTTCATCACAATTTTCCTTTCTGACACTCCACCTAACAGCAGTATTTTGATAGATCCCAGAATATATTGTCATAATAGGTCAGAGTTATAGTGTTTACTAATTTGATAGGCAATATTCTGACTATTTTAAATATATATACTTTTAAAACTCATCACAAATAACTATTAAATAGCAACCATTCTTATCTTTATTTTACAAACAAGAAACTGAGGCACAGAGATATCAAGGTATTGTTCAAGAGCACACGGCTAATATGTGAGGGATCCAGAAATTAAATGCAGGCAGTCTAATTCTGGGATCTTTGCCATTAGATATTACTCTGCTTTATCTTTCAAAAGTATTAAATGTGTAGTATCGGAAAAGTTAAGTCTATCTTTTCAGCTCAGAGAAAAATAACTTCAACTTAAGTCATACTTCTTATGTACTTAATAATAGAAATCTACCAATAAAGGGGGATTCAATGTTCCACTTTTTATATATCATACCACATATGAAATAGAATTTGAACGGATGCCAATATTTCTACAACAGAGTTTCCAAATGAAATGTGTATTGGTCATTTGATCAGGATGTAGATGTAGATAGCTACATTCCTATGTTCTTCCATGATTTGAAGCATGATTACTCATTTACTCAATTTACAGATACCTCATCCACAAATTCTCTCAATTACAGCATTATTGTAATTATCTGAATTGTTTGCCACATGAGGCTTATGAATCTAAAGAAATGTTTTGAAGAACCTGGTTTTGTATGGTTTAAGTGAATGCCATTGGCCTGGGGAAAGAGTGTTTTAATAGCATGGAGTGACATTGATAATGCATATTATTAATTCCTTCCTTTCTCTCTTTTTCTGTTTTTTTCTTTTGAGACAGAGTCTCGCTCTGTTGCCCAGGCTGGAGTGCAGTGGCAGGATCTCGGCTAACTGGAACCTCCGTCTCCCAGGTTCAAGCAATTCTTCTGCCTCAGCCACCCAAGTAGGTGGGACTACAGGCACCCACTGCCACACCTGGCTAATTATTTGTATTTTAGTAGAGATGGGGTTTCACCATGTTCCCCAGGCTGGTCTCGAACTCCTGAGCTCAGGCAATCTGCCTGCCTTGGCCTCCCAAAGTGCTAGTATTAAGGCATAAGCCACCATGCAGAGCCTCTCATTTTTCTGGTATTGCATTTCCTCTTTATAGCTAGAATTTGCAGTAAATGAATACAATGTTCTAGACAATGAATCAAAATATATGAAGACAAATAATTATCTTTCTAAATATAAAAATTAAAAACTGCCCATTAGTTCTAATTTTAAGTGTTATACGAATGCATGCAAGAAGCTCAGTCTTCAAAATACCCTTGACATGACAATTACGACTCAAGAAGTTACAGCTGGAAGAAACAGAAAGTTTCCTTGCACAAATACCACTCCACAGTGGCAGTGATCATGATTTTGTCCTAGGGCACCCAGACAATCTTGCTATTTGCTGTTGCAGAGTCCTGAAATTTTGGCATGGCATTTATTTCTGGGAAAGATTAGAGTCAGAATACTGTATGACTGTTTAGAGAGCATTATGTGTTACATTGTAAGGTAAAAGTATAAACGGGATAATAACATGTACCATTAGAAAAACAGCATTTGACTTCTAGGACAGAATGACTAGAATTACAGGCATAAGTTCTGATACAGTTTGGCTCTGTGTCCCCACTCAAATCTCACTTTGAATTATAATAATCCCCATGTGTCAAGGGCGGGACCAGGTGGAGATAATTGAATTATGGGGGTGGTTTCCCCTATGCTGCTTTTATGATAGTCCTCATGAGATCTAATGGTTTTACAAAGGGCTTCCCCCTTAAGTGGGCACTCATTCCCTCTCCTACCGCCCTGTGAAGAGGTGCCTGCCACCCTGATTGTAAGTTTCCTGAGGCATCCCCAGCCATGTGGAACTGTTAATCAATTGAGTAATTTCTTCAGAGCAGTGTGAGAGTGACTAATACAGTAAATTGTTACTGAGTAATGGGGCACTGGTGGAAATATACCCATAAATGTGGAAGTGACTTTGGAACTCGGTAACAGACAGACATTGGAACAGTTTGGAGGGCAAGAAAAGACAGAAAGATGTGGGAAAGTTTGGAACTTCTTAGAGACTTGTTGAATGGCTTAGTCCAAAATGCTGATAGTGATATGGACAGTGAAGTCCAGGCTGAAGTGATCTCAGATGAAGATGAGGAACTTGTTGGGAATTGGAGGAAAGGTCACTCTTACTACACTTTAGCAAAGAGGCTGGCAGCATCCTGCCCCTGCCCTGGATATCTGTGGAACTTTGAACTTAAGAGAGATGATTTAGGGTATCCGGCAGAAGAAATTTCTAAGCAGCAAAGCATTCAAGAGGTGACAGAGAATAAAAGTTTGAAAAATTTGCAGCCTGATGATGCGGTAGAAAAAAGAAACCCATTTTTTTAAGAAAATGCAAGCCTGCTGCAGAAATTTGCATAAATAACAAGGAGCCATAGGCTAATCACCAAGACTATGGGAAAAATGTCTCCAGGGCATGTCAGAGGCCTTTGGAGCACCCCCACCCATGACAGGCCTGGAGTCTTAAGAGGAAAAAGTGATTTCCTGGGCCTGGCCCAGGGCCCGCCTGCTGTGTGCAGCCCAGGGACTTGGTGCCCTGTGACCCAGTTGCTCCAGCTGTGGCTAAAAGGGGCCAAGGTATAGCCTGGGTTATTGTTTCAGAGGGTACAAGCCTCAAGCTTTGACAGCTTCCACATGGTGTTGGTCCTGAGAGTGCACAGAAGACAATAATTGAGGTTTGGGAACTTCCACCTGGATTTCAGAGGATGCAGGAAAACACCTGGATGTCCAGGCAGAAGTGTGCTGCAGGGGCAGAGCCCTCATGAAGAACCTTTGCTAGGGCAATGCAGCAGGGAAATGTGGGGTTGAAGCCACACAGAGTTCCCACTGGGGCACTACTCAGTGGAGCTATGTGAAGGGGGCTATTGTCCTCCAGATCTTAGAATGAGAGCTCCAATAACAGCTTGCACTGTGCATCTGGAAAACCCATAGACACTCAATGCCAGCCATAAAAGCAGCTGGGATGGGGGCTGTACCCTGCAAAGCCACAGGGGCAGAGCTGCCCAAAGCCATGGAAACCCACCTCTTGCATCAACGTGACCTGGAAGTAGGACATGGAGTCAAAGGATAATGTTTTGGAAGTTTAGGGTTTAATGACTGCCCTATTGAATTTTTGACTTGCATAAGGCCTGTAGCCCCTTTGTTTTGGCCAATTTCTCTCATTTGGAATGGGTTTATTTACACAATGCCTGTACCCCTATAGTATCTAGGAAGTAACTAACTTGCTTTTGATTTTACAGGCTCATAGGTGAAAGGGACTTGCTTTGCCTCAGATGAGATTTTGGACTGGGATTTTTGGTTAATTCTGGAATGAGTTAAGACTTTGGGGGACTGTTGAGAAGGCATGACTGTGTTTTGAAATGTGAGGACATGAGATTTGGGAGGGTCCAGAGGCAAAATGATGTGGTTTGGCTGTTTCCTCACCCAAATATCATCTTGAATTGTAATCTCCATAATCCTTACATGTCATGGGAAGAACCCAATAGGAGGTAATTGAATCATGGGGGTGGTTTCTCCCATGCTGTTCTTGTGAAAGTGAGTGAATTTTCACGAGATCTGACGGTTTAATAAGTGTCTGGCATTTCCCCTGCTGGCATTCATTCTCTCTCCTGCTACCTTGTGATGAAGGTGACTTCCTCCCCTTTATCTTCTGCTATGATTCTCGATTTCCTGAGGCCTCCCCGGCCATATGCAACTGTGAATCAAGTAAAACTCTTTCCTTTATAAATTGCTCAGTCTTGGGTATTTCTTCATAGCAGCATGAGGAAGGATTAATACAAGATCTAAGGGAACAAACACTGTGTTCTAACAAAAATGATGTCAAATATTTCATTAAATCCGATAATTATTTCAGACATACAGACTCTTTTGAATTTAGTTAGGGAAACATATTATCCTTTTTGTACTTTTCGGTTAATGATAAGAATAAAAGAGATGAAATTTATCTTTAGAAAACATCAGACTGTGAGTACTAGTGATAGAACACCCAGATTCAAATCAGCAATCAGAATAAAATTGCTGGGTCTTTTGCTTACAAACTATGTGAGTTTCAAAAAAGGGGGATTTAATACATAGTATCAGTAAGTGGATATTAAATCTTCCCAAGTCTTGGTTGGGTGTCGTGGCTCACACCTGTAATCCCAAGACTTTGGGAAGTCAAGGCAGGCAGATGTCTTGAGCTCAGGAGTTCAAGACCAGCCTTGGAAACATAGTGAAAACTTATCTCTACAAAAAAAGTATAAAAATTAGCTGGGCTTGGTGGTGTGTATCTGTAGTCTCAGCTACTGAGGAGGCTGAGGTAAAGGATAGCTTGAGCCTGGGGAGGATGAGGCTGCAGTGAGCTGTGATTGGGCCACCAGACTCCAGCCTGGGCAACAGAGTGAGAGCCCATTTCAAACAAAAAGAAGAAAAATTTTAAAAATAGCTAAAGGAAAAGAAAAATTCCCAAGTCCCATGCCAAAAGGATAAAAGTTCCTTTTGTGACATATCATGAAGTATTCAGCATCCCACAATCCCACGATATATAATTAAAATGATTGTAAACTACAATACAGATGCAGGTAATTCTTATTTGTAGTTTTACAAATTGAAAAAGAAATTACTAATGGTTACAAGGGCCTTATTCAACTAAAAAATCACTCCTTTTTCATAATTTGAAATAGAATTTCTTATTTTCATTGTTTCCCTGTAATCTAATTGTATTATCTTCTTAAGGTTACTGTAAGAAAGTATCACAGAGTGATTTAAAACAACAGACATTTATTGTCCCAAAGTTCTGGAATCCAGAACTGTGAAAACAAGTATCAGTAGAGCAATACTCTTTCTAAAACCTGCAGCTGAGAAATTTCCTTGCCTATTGTAACTTCTGGTGTTTGCCAGCAATCTTGGGCATTCTTTGGCTACTAGATGCATTACTCCAATCTCTGCTTCTGTCCTCCTACAGCCATCTTCTCTCTGTGTGCCTGTATTCACATTTTCTCTTCTTCTTCTAAGGACATGAATCACATTGGATCTGAAAACATTCTGATAAAGTCACCTTAAATTGATTACATCTGCAAAGATCCCATTTCAAAATAAGGTCACATTCCTATTTATGGATGGTTAGGACTTTAAGGTAACTTTTTGCCAGACACAGTTCAATTAATGACATCAGTGAAGGCAAAATAGGATTGCAATATGAGCATGGGGTATTACTAAATGTGGAGAGTGAAGTGTTTTTTTTTGTTTTTGTTTTTGTTTTTTGTCAATGCAGTATTTTAGTACTTTGTACCTGGATAAGACCATACTTATCATTTGAATCAAAACATATAAATAGCTACATATAACAAACAGTATCTAGAAACCAGTATTATATGATAAAATAAATATATAATACATGAATAAAAGAACATTATTTATGCTAGAGAGAATACATAATATAATCTGTTAAGCAAGTAAGATGTCCAGATCAAGTAGAACTTGATTTTCCAGTATATTTGCTATTATTTCACTAGGAAGAAGAGACAGAGAAGCACATTCCATAGAAGAGAAAAAGTGCAGAAAATAAGATAATCAAGGAGTGTTTGGGGGACAATTAAACTGCTAGCTTGAGTCAAAAATATCTGCGAAAGCAGTCATCAGGAAAACATTCAGGCAAGGTTGCAGCAATCCAGTGACATGAGAAAAATTTGAAATTGATTCCAGAAACAGGGAGAAGTCATTACAGGCACTACCACAGGACAGTAGTATGATACTAAAATATTCTCAGAGCATTGGGTATTAATGTGGACTAGGATTTAAAAATCAGGGACAGAAAGTACAATAGACTTGTACTGCATTAATCTAATTATATATGCTTCTGGTGATAGCATATGCTGACAAACAGTTTGCTGTACTTTCCTGGAGTACCACAGTGAATTTGTAAAGTGGAGCATTCCAGGACATATTATTGAGGAAAATACAGGGACACCTGTAAAAAACTTAACAGTCTATTACTTTTAGATTATTTAGAATCATTTTGTTAATGAACAGAACTATTAGTTTCTTTTGTTTTTGCTTAGGGGTGCTGAGAAATTTATTGAAATACATAGCCATGCACCAAAAGAGCTTGGGAATCCTTAGCTTATTAATCAAAGAATGAAAATTTTTCCCCTCAAAGTTGCTCTGTAGCTTTGTATAGCTTTATATACACTTCCATATTTTGTTATCTTGTCACTTAGATCATTTTTATTAAAAATCAGTTTTTTGATATTGTACTGGTGTAAAAATTAGTCTAAATCTCCTTTAATTTTTTTCTGGTGTTATTAGAGGCAAAAACTAGAGAAATAACATGTTGCCCAAATGAAAGAGTATTTTGTTCTTAATGAATTTTACTCTCCCACATTCAGGTTCTTTTTATTTTTTATTTTTATTTTTTTTGCATTTTGCTAGGATCATTTTCAGAATTATTGTTACTACTTTTATATTTTAGCTTTTACCATTAGCTTTAATATTTTACTTTAATGTACATACTACATATTTTTGTCTGATCTATTTGATTCCTGAGTCAACTGCAAAACACATACCTATATTAATAATAAAATTGAGAGAGACTGGGAGTTTCTTGCAAAATAGCAGCATTAGAAGCAAACTGGCTTCACTCCCATTCAGAAGAAAACAAAACAAAACAAAACAAACATATAGCACTGAGGTTATCACCAGAAACATCCTAGAACTCAAATATGAGGATGAGACAGTACCTACTGCCACAGAGAAGTAAAACATAACAAAACAAAAAGACTAAGCAGAGAGTAAGAGAATTGGACTTCTATGTCTTTGATGGTGCTCTCCCCAATCCGCCTGGCACCAAGCCTGTGAAAAATGTTCCTCCTACTCATGGTTTCTGTACTGGGAATAATGTGATGGAGATGAACAATCAGCTTCCCCAATCTCTTGGGTTGCCTAGCAGGAGACCTATCCATGTTTCAATTCGTGGGAAGCATTGCAAGTGTTTACAGGGATAAATATATCTGAGCACAACCAGAGACCAGGGGGTCAATGGGTCTTCCATCCCCAGCTATGGAAACCCTGCCCTGTAACTCAGCCAAAGGAGACAACAAATCATGGCAGTTGTTCCACAGCATCACACTTGAGGAGGTATGTTCCATGGTTCCCCTAGACAAAAAACACTAGCCAGCTTTACAACACTGCCAATATATTTCCTTTGGGACTTCCCATGAAATGGGACAGGAAGCGCTTTGATAGTTTACTACATTCAAAGAAAATCTGGGCTTGAAGCACCACTGAGTGGCAAAAAGGAGGCAGTGACCTAGTGGAGGGAAAAGAGAGAGAGAGAGAGAGAAATTCAACAGGTAAATTACAAAGAATCTCTAAGCAAATGTATACAATAAAAAAAAAAAGCCAGACAGAGAAGATTGGAATAAAGAACTAATCCTTCAATGCAAAGACATAGACATACTTCCACAAGAAACAACAACAATAGAGAACCACGACCTCCCTAAATGGAAAAATAAGAAACCAAGTACTGACCCTAATAAGATGGCAATATGTGAGTGTTCTGACCAATAATTTAAAATAGCTGTTTTAAGAAAACTCTATTATTACCAAAATCACAGTAGACAAGAGTGGAATGGATCAAGCAGAGCAAATAATCAGTGAGCTCAAAGACAGGCTATTTGAAAACACAATCAGAGGAGAAAAAGAAAAAAAGAATGAGAGAGAACAAATAGAACCTGCAAATAGAGAAAATTATCTGAAAAGACAAATATAAGAATTATTAATGTTCAACAGGCAACTGAGCAATAGTGAGGGAAAGAAAGAAACAAATAATCATAGAAAACTTCTCAAAACTTGAGAAACATATACACATCCAGGTGCAGAAACGTCAGAGAACACCAAACAGATCCAGCCCACTAAGATAATCTCAAAGCACGTAATAACCAAACTCTGCAAAATAAAGGACAGAGTGGATTCTAAAATCAGCAAGAGAAAAGAAGCAAATAATATATAAAGGAGCTCCAATTCATCTAAAAATGGACTTCTCAACAGAAACCATACAGGCCAGAAAGAAGCAGAATGACATTTTAAAAATGTATTAAGGAAAAAAAAAGTGCCATACAAAAGTACTGTATTCAGCAATTCTGTCCTTCAAATATGAAGGAGAGAGAAATTTTTTCCCAAACAATACCTGAGAGAATTAATGAACCACAGGACCTATTTTACAAGAAATGTGAAAGGCAATTCTTGAATCTAAAAGAAAAATACACTAATGTGCAAAAAGAAAATATTGGAAGGGTCAAAATCCCACTGATAAAATTAAGTGCACAGACAAATCCAAAATATTCTAATATCATAATTATAATGTGTAATTCACTAATAACTGTAGAATGAAGCCTAAAAGAGAAACCTATTAAAAATAAGAGTAGCTACAGTAACCTGTTAAGAGGTAGGCAATATGCAAATATGTAAATTGCGAAACAAAAAATCAAAATTGTATGGGGGAGCTGAAGTGTAAAGGGTTTTTTTTTCTTTCTTTTTGTTCTTCTCTTTGTTCCTATTCTTTTCTTTGTGATCTAGGTCATCATTTCTCTAAAATAACTTGTTTAAGTTGTTTTTATAAGTTCATTGTACCAACAATGCACAAATTATAATAGACTCACTAACAAAAAGCAATAAGTTAAAAAAAATTTTACCAGAAAAAAACTTAACCACAAAGAAAAACAGTAAGAAAGGGAGAAAGGAAGAACAGAGCTGCAAAACAACCAGAAAACAAGCAACAGAATGGCAATAACATGCCATTTATCAATAACACTGAATATTGATGGACTCAGTTATTCAGTTAAAACACATAGAGTGGCTAAATGAATATAGGAACAAGAACCCACTTAACCTATAAATGCGTACATATACTGAAGGTAAGAGTGTTAAAACCGATATTACATGCAGCTGGAAACCGAAAATGAGCAGGAGGAACTATACACATAACATAAAATGACAAAATGTCAAAGATTATACCAAGAGACAATGAAAGTCACTATATAATAATAAAAGATCAGTTCAGCAAGAGGCTACATCAATTATAAATATGCATCCAACATTGGAACACCCAAGTATATGCAACAAACAAACATTAATAGATCTAAAGGGAGAGATACACTGCAATATTATAGTAGTAAGGGACTTCAACACCCCACTGTCAGTAATGGACAATTCATTCAGAAAGAAAATCAATAAAGAAACATCAGAATTAAACTACACACTAGACCAAAGAGGTCTAGTTTCATGCAACTTCTGCAGAATACACACTCTTTACATCAGCACTTGGAACAATCTTCAGAATATAGACTGTATCTTAGGTGACAAATCAAATCTCAACAAATTGAAAAAACAAGAAATCATATAATATTTTCTGACAACAATGAAACAAAACTAGAAATCAATAACAAAAGGAAACTCAGAAACTACACAAACACATGGAAATTAAACAACATGCTCCTGAATGACTAACATGTGAATGAAGAAATTAAAGAGAAAATTTAAACAATTGAAAATGTAAATACAACACCGCAAAATCCATGGGATATGGCAAAAGCAGTACTAAGAGGGAAGTTTATAACAATAAATATCTATACCAAAAAAGTGTAAAGACTTAAATAAACAAGTGACACACATTAAGGACTTAGAAAAGCAAGAATAAATCAAACCCAGAATTAATACAGGGGATGAAATAATAAAGATTAGAGCAGAGATAAATAACATTGAGATTAAAAAGAATACAGAAGATTAACAAAATGAAGTTGATTTTAAGAAAGATAAACAACATCAACAAAACTTTCAGCTAGACAAACTTTAAAAAGAAGACCCAAATAAATAAAACCAGAAATGAAAAATGAGTTATAGCAACTTATACCACAGAAATGCAAAAATCATTAGACACTATTGTGCACAACTATATGCCAACAAATTGGAAAACCTAGAAAAAAACTGAAAAGTTCCTGGACACATATAACCTACCAAGAATGAGCCATGAAGAAACAGAAAACCTTAACAAAGCAAAAATGAGTAGTGAGACTGATGCCATAATGAAGTCTTCTATTAAAGAAAATTCCAAAACCTAGTGGAATCACTGACGAACTCTACCAAACATTTAATTAACTAATTCCAATTCTATTCAAAGTCTTCAAAAAAAAATTAAAGCTTGGAATATTTCCAAACTTATTCAACGAGGTTAGTATTAACCTGACATCAAAACCAGACAAAGATACAAGAAAAAAGAAAAGTATAGGTCAGTGTTACTGGTGAATACATATGTCAAAATTCTCAACAAAATATGAAATAATATTTTACAAACCATTAAAATATCATTTACCTCAATCAAGAGGGGTTCATCCCAGGATAAGTATATATATACATCCCACTGTGCAAGAATGATTTAACCTACAAAAATCTATAAACATGATACATCACATTAACAGAACAATGAACAAAAGCCATATGATATCAATAGATGCTGAAAAAACATTAGACAAAATTCAGTGTTACTTTAATGATAAAAACTCTCAAAAAACTTGGTGTAGAAGGAGTATATCTCAAAATAATAAAGGTCATATATGAGAACCCCACAACTAATATCATACTGAACAGGGGAAAATTGAAATTTCTTTCTCTAAGATCTGAAACAAGGATGCCCATTATCTCTACTTTTATTCAATGTAATACTGGAATTCCCAGCTAGAACAATTTTTTTAAGCAAGAAAGAAAAATGAAGGGCATCTATTGAACATAAATAAGTCAAATTATCCTTGTGCACAGGCAACATGCTAATATAGAAAAAAAAACACTAAAGACTACCCAAAACTGTCAGAACTAATATACAAATTCAGTAAATCTACAGAATATATAGTCAACATAAAAGAGTAGTAGCCTTTATATAAGCCAACATTGAACAATGTGAAAAAAATTAAAAAAGTAATCCCACTTACAAATAATACAAAATATGTAGAAATAAATTTAGCCAAAGCAGTGAAAAGATCTATAAAAGGAAAACTATAAAACACCAATGAAAGAAATTGAAAAGAACATTAAAAAAAGGTATTCCAAGCTCATGGACAGGAAAATTAATATTGTTAAAATAACAATAATACCTGTATTAGTCCATTTTCATGCTGCTCATAAAGACATACAAGAGACTGGGCAATTTACAAAAGAAAGAGGTTTAAGGGACTTACAGTTCCATGTGGCTGAAGAAGCTCACAATCATGGTGGAAGGTGAAAGGCACATCTTACATGGCAGTAGGGAAGAAAAAGAACTCATGCAGGAAAACTGCTGTTTCTAAAACAACCAGATATTGTGAGACCTATTCACTATCATGAGAACAGCAGGGGAAAGACCCATGCTGTGATCCAATTATCTCCCCACAGGTCCCTCCCACAACATGTGAAAATTATAGGAGCTACAAGATGAGATTTGGGTGGGGACACAGAGCCAAACCATATCAATACCTAAAGCAATTTACAGATTTAATGCAATAATTATATAAGCAAACGGAAGTAACAATCCTAAAATGTATATATAACTACAAAGACCCTGAATAGTCAAAGCAATCCAGAGCAAAATGAACAAAACTGGAGGAATCAGACTACCTGACTTCAAAATATATTGAAAACCTATAGTAATGAAAACACCATCATACAGGCATAAAAACAAACATAAACACCAACTGAATGGAACAGAAAAATTAAATATAAATCTATGCATTTAAAGCCAACTTATTTTCAACAAAGATACCAACTGTATTAGTGTATGACACTGCTCTTAAGGTACTACCCAATGCCGAGTAAATTATAAGGAAAAGAGATTTAATTGACTCACAGTTCTGCATGGCTGGGAAGGCCTCAGGAACTTACAACCATGGCAGAAGGTGAAACAGGCATGTCTTACATGGCAACAAGCAAGAGAGAAAGTCTGTGAATGGGGAACTGTCAAACATTTATAAAACCGTCAGATCTTGTGAGAAATCCCTCCATCACTATCATGAGACCAGCATGGGGGAAACTGCCCCCTTGATTCAATTGCCTTTCACCAGGTCCATCCCTCACATGTTGGGATTATGGGGATCACAAACATGTGGGGATTATGGGGATTACAATTCAAGATGAGATTTGTGTGGGGACACAGAGCCAAACCATATCACAACAATATACAATCCGGAGAGGACAGTGTCTTCAATCAACAGTGGTGGGAAAACTGGATTACCATCTGCAAAACACTAAATGTAGACTCTGATCACTCACTGTATTAAAAAAAATGTAAAAATTATTTAAAGACTTAAACCTACGACTGGAAACTATGAAACTACTAGAAGAAAGCATTGCAGAAATGCTCTAGAGTATTGGTCTGAGCAAAGTTTTTTTTGTGTAAAATCTCAAAAGCACAGAGAACAAAATGAAAAGTAGACAAATGGGATTACATCATGGTAAAATGCTTCTGCACAGCCAAAGAATTAATCAAGAATGTGAAGAGACAACTCAGAAAATGGGAAAAAATATACGCAAACTACTCATTTGACAAGGGACTAATAACCAGAATATATAAAGAATACATAAAGCTCAAACAACTCAATAGCAATAAAGAAAAAACACAAAATCCCCACAAAGAATCTGATTAAAATTGGGCAAAAGCTCTGAATAGATATTTCGCAAAAGAAGACATACAAGTGGCAACAAGAATATGAGAAAGTGCTCAACATCACTAATCACCAGGGAAATGCAAATCAAAATCACAATGAGATATTATCCCATTTCAGTTAAAAACACTTCATTAAAAAGACGGGGAAGAACAAGAACATGGTGGTGAGGCTGTGAAGAAAGGGGAATGTGTGTATACTGTTGGTAGAAAGGTAAATGAGTACAACCGTTATGAAAAACAGTATGTAGTTGCCATAAAAATACTAAACGTAGGATTATCATATGATCTAGCAATTTCACTATTAGGGTTACATCCAAAAGAAAGGAAACCAATGTATTGAAAAAAGATGTGAACTCTCATGCTTATTGCAGCACTATACAAAATAGCCAAAATATGGAATTAACCTGTGTTTATCAATGGGGGAATGGATAAAGAAAATATGGTTTTATACACAATAGCCTATTATTCAGACATAAAATAGTGAAATCCTGTCATTTGCAGCAACATGGATGAAACTGGAGGTCCTTATGTTAAGTGAAATAAGCTAAGCACAGAAAGATAGATGTGGTCACTCATACGTGGGAGCTTAAAATGTTGATCTCATGAATATAATCAGTTGTTAGGTTAACATGGTTATCAGAGTCTGGGAAAATTGGCATAGGGAGATAAAAAGAGGTTGACCAATGAGTACAAATATATAATTAGATAAAAGAAATAAGTCCTAATGATGGATAGATCATTAAGATGACAATCACTGAAATATACAATAGTCTATTGTATATTTTAAAACAGCTATAAGACAATAACGTAAATGTTCCTATCATAAAGAAAATACAAAAACTGAAGATACTGGGGAGCCCAATTACCGTGATTTGATATTTACACATTATATGAATATGTGCCCTGATATAAATATCAAGGTAATGGGAAGCCCAATTACCCTAATTTGATATTTACACATTATATGAATGTATCAGATTATCACATGTACCCCCAAAATATTTTCATATATCATATATAATTTAAGAAGTAATATTAACTAAATAATAATGTAAGATTAATTAAAATAATTTTTTCTCAATTTTAAATATTATTATGAAATTATTTGTATTATTTTTTAACTTTTAAAAATAACTTAGACATAGTTACTCCATCCAGTTTCTCAATATTGATTTTATTATTTTCCTCTTTAAAATTTTAATTATATTTGCTAGCCTTTTCCAGAACCTACAAGAACGCCATTTAGATTTCTTTCTGACAAGTAACTGAGTTTTAAATTTATCAATTTTCTTGCTTTATCTACTTTCTAAGTTAATTTCATATTTCTTCTATATTCTTTTGACATAGAACACATTTTTCTTAGTGAACAGAAAGCCAAAGAGTTTTCTTAGTTGTTTTCAGGTTCCTGAGTGTATCATTTTCAGAGTTATGTATTTCATCTGAGGTTTTTATTAGATTCCTCTTACCTTTCCTCCATAATTTTCCCATATGTCCATAGAGCTTACAAGAATTTTATTTGTTGTAATTTTAAAATTGTATTGCTTAAATGATTAATCCAATTAGTTTCAATCTTAATCTGAACAGTTTAAATATTTATTTTAAATTTGCTTTTGAGTAGTAGTTCTGAAATTATTTAAGGTTTTGATATTAAAGGTCCTTTTTTTCTGTGAGTAAAGTAATGTTGATCTTGGATTTTATTTTATATCCGATAGTGATTTAGGTGAAAACACTTCAAATATATTTTGAAAATGTATACAGATTTTTAAATGATTAATTTTGTTATTAAAATATCTGGCCTTTGGACATAGTTTATTTCATTTCTAAGTGTCTTATAATAGTTCATAATTATTATTACTACTAAGTTATCTGTATGCTTTTAAACAATTTTATAAGAAATATTTCAAGACTATACATTCTGCTGAGTAATGACTACTACATTTTTATTGTAAACCATATTTATTGATATATACTTATCTTGTTTAATGAAAAAATAATAAAAGTAAGATTAGATAAATATTATTCATAATCTAGATTTGCAACTTCATAAGCACATTTTATTCATTAATTACCAGTATACATCAGATATATTAGGTGTTCAGTTCCAGACCACCACAATAAAGCAAATGTATCAATAAAGCCAGTGACACAAATGTTTTGGTTTCCCAGTAATTATAAAAATTATGTTTATAATATACTATATCCTATTAAGTGTCCAATAGCACACTTGAAATGAAGCTTCTACCACTGTGTAATGGGAGAGGGGCGTCTGTCATTGCTGAGGCTTGAATAGGTAAACAAAGCAGCCGGGAAGCTCGAACTGGGCAGCTCAATGAGGCCTGCCTGCCTCTGTAGACTCCACCTCTGGGGGTAGGACATAGCTGAACCAAATGCAGCAGAAACTTCTGCAGACTTAAATGTCCCTGTCTGACAGCTTTGAAGAGAGTAGTGGTTCTCCCAGTATGGAGTCTGAGATCTGAGAATGGAAAGACTGCCTCCTCAAGTGGGTCCCTGACCCCCCGAGTAGCCTAACTGGGAGACACCTCCAACTAGAGGCCAACTGACACCTCATTCAGCCGGGTGCCCCTCTAAGACGAAGCTTCTAGAGGAAGGATCAGGCAGCAACATTTGCTGTTCTGCAATATTTGCTGTTTTGCAGCCTCTGCTGGTGATACCCAGGCAAACAGAGACTGGAGTGGACCTCCAGCAAACTCCAACAGACCTGCAGCTGAGAGTCCTGACTGTTAGAAGGAAAACTAACAAACAGAAAGGAATAGCATCAACATCAACAAAAAGGACATCCACACCAAAACCCCATCATCAAAGACCATTGGTCACCATCATCAAAGACCAAAGGTAGACAAAACAACACAGATGGGGAGAAACCAGAACAGAAAAGCTGAAAATTCTAAAAATCAGAGCACCTCTTCTCTCCAAAGGAACCAGCTTCTTACCAGCAATGGAACAGAGCTGGATGGAAAATGACTTTGACGAGTTGACAAAAGTAGGCTTCAGAAGATCAGTAATAACAAACTTCTCTGAGCAAAAGGAGGATGTTTGAACCCATCACAAAGAAGCTAAAAACCTTGGAAAAAGATTAGATGAATGGCTAACTAGAGTAAACAGCATAGAGAAGACCTTAAATGACCTGATGAAGCTGAAAACCATGGCACAGAACTATGTGACCAATGCACAAGCTTCAGTAGCTGATTCGATCAACTGGAAGAAAGGGTATCAGTGATTGAAGATAAAATGAATGAAATGAAGCAAGAAGAGAAGTTTAGAGAAAAAAGAGTAAAAATAAATGAACAGACTCCAAGAAATATGGGACTATGTGAAAAGACCAAATCTAAGTCTGATTGATGTACCTGAAAGTGATGGGGAGAATGGAACCAAGTTGGAAAACACTCTTCAGGATGTTATCCAGGAGAACTTCCCCAACCCAGCAAGGCCGGCCAACATTCAAATTCAGGAAATACAGAGAATGCCACAAAGATACTCCTCGAGAAGAGCAACCCCAAGACACATAATTGTCAGATTCACCAAGGTTGAAATGAAGGAAAAAATGTTAAGGCAGCCAGGGAGAAAGGTCAGGTTACCCACAAAGGGAAGCCCATCAGACTAAGAGCAGATCTCTCAGCAGAAACTGCAAGCCAGAAGAGCGTGGGGGCCAATATTCAACATTCTTAAGGAAAAGAATTTTCAACCCACAAATTCATATCCGGCCGAACTAAGCTTCATAAGTGAAGGTTAGAAAAGAAAAAAAAAAACATATCTTAAATTTTAAAATACTCTTTGCTAAAATTGCTAACTATCTTTTGAGTCTTCCACAAGTCATATTCTTTTTGCTGGTAGAGGGTCTTGCCTCAGTGATGAGGACCTTGCTCTGTATTAGATTTTGCCTTAAGGGAATGTTGTGGCTGGTCTGACCTATAAAGACCAGTAAAATATTCTCCATATCAGCATTTTTTTACTGTTTTGCTTTCTTATCATTTGTGTGTTTACTATAATAGCACTTTTCCTTCAAAAACTTTAGCTTTGCATTCACAACTTGGTTAACTGGCATAAGAAACCTAGATTTCAGCCTATCCCAGCTTTCAACATGTGTGTTTCAACATGTGTGTGATTAAGCTCATTAAGCTTAATCACTTCTAGCTTTTGATTAAAAGTGTATATACAACACTTACTTAAACACTTGGAGGCCATTGTAGGGTTATTACGTAACTTACTTTAAATATTGTTGTATCTCAGAGAATAGGGAGGCCTAAAGAGAGAGAAGAGATGGGAAAATTGTAGGTTGGTGGAATTGTAGTCAGATAACACATTTATTGATTAGTTTACTGTCTTATACGGGCACAGATTGTGGTCTCTCAAAACAACTGCATTAAGGATATTGGCATAAAGTTTTCTTTTTTTTGTTGTGCTCAGCATCAGGATGATGCTGGCCTCACAGAAGGAGTTAGGGAGAATTCCCTTTTAGTCGAATTTTTGGAATACTTTCAGTAGGAATGGTACTAGCTCTTGTTTTGTACATTCAGTAAACTTCAGCTGTGAATCCATCTGGTTCTGGGCATTTTTGTTTGGTAGACTATTACTGATTCAATTTCAGAGCTCATTATTGGTTTGTTCAGGGTTTCAATTTCTTCCTGGTTCAGTCTTGGAAGGGAGTATGTGTCCAGGAATTTATCCAGTTTTCTAGTTTGTGTGCAAAGATTTTCCCGTTTGTGTGCAAAGAGGTGTTCATAATATTCTCTGTTGGTTATTTGTACTTCTGTGGGGTCAGTGGTAATATCCCATTGACTGTTTCTAATTGTTTTTATTTGAATTTTTTCTCTTTTCTTATTAGTCTAGCTAGTAGTCTATTTTACTAATTTTTAAAGAAAACCTACTCCTGGATGTGTTGATCTTTTATACGATTCTTAGTGTCTCAGTCTCATTTAGTTTAGTTCTGAAAGAGCACTGAAATAGAAAAAAGGAAAGTCAAACTATCCTTGTTTGCAGATGACATGATCCTATATCTAGAAAACCTCACAGAATTCAGCAAAGTATCATGATACAAAATAAACATACAAAAATTACTAACATTCCTATAAACCAACAGCAGTCAAGCCAAGAGCCAAATCAAGAATGCAATCCCATTCACAATTACCACGAAAAAGAATGAAATACCTAGAAATATAGCTATCAAGAAAGGTGAAAGATCTCCACAAGGGGAACTACAAAACACTGCTCAATGAAATTAGAGATGATACAAATAAGTAGACAAAAATATATTATGCTCATGGATAGGAAGAATCAATATTATTTAAATGGCCATACTGTCCAAAAAACATTTTATAGATTCAGTACTGGTTTCTATCAAGCTACCAATGACATTTTCTTCAGAGCTAGAAAAAATTAATAATTCATATAGAACTAAAAATTGCCCCTAATACCAAGGCAGTCCTACGCAAAGACAACAGAGCTGGAGGAATCATGGTACTCAACTTCAAGCTATACTACAGGGCTACAGTCACCAAAACAGCATAGTACTGTACAAAAACATACATAGACCAATGGAAGAGAATACAGAGCCCAGAAATAAGGCTGCATACCTACAACTGTCTGATTTTCAACAAAGCTGACCAAAGCTGACAAAGCAATAGGGAAAGGACTCCCTAGTCAATAAATGGTGCTAGGATAACTGGCTAGCCATGTGTAGAAGATTGAAACTGGACCCCTTTCTTAAACCATATAAAAAATCAACTCAAGATAGATTAAAAACTTAAATGTAAAACTCAAAACTATGCAAACCTAGAAATACAACTTAGGCAATATGATTCTGTAAGTAGGAATGGGCAAAGGTTTCCTAACAAATATCACAAAATGCAACTGCAACAAAAGCTAAAGTTGACAAATGTAATCTAATTAAACTAAAGCGCTTCTTCACAGCAAAAGAAACTATCAAGAGAGTAAACATACAACCTACAAAATAAGAGAAAATATTTGCAAACTATGCATCTGATAAGGGTCTAATATCCAGCATCCATAAGGAACTTTAACAGATTTACAATAAAAAAAGACCTCATTAAAAAGTTGGCAAAGGACATGAACGGACACTTTTCAAAAGAAGACATGCATGTGGCCAACAAACATATAAAAAAAGCTCAACATCACTGAACATAGTAGAAATGCAAATCAAAACCACAGTGAGATACAACCTCATACCAGTCAGAATGGCTATTATTAAATGGTCAAAAAATATCAGACTAGAGCCAATGTAAGCAGTTCCTAATGGCCTATTACTCAAACAATTTGAGCAATACTCGAACAATTTGAGCAATAAAATGAATAAGGTAGCAGTAGATTATAATTCAGGTATATATACAATAAATATTTCTGTCTACACGGACATAAAGGGTTGAGTAAGTAAACAAATGGGTACAAAGAAATAGGATACATCTCCTGTGCAGGAAAATTTCAAATAATTTGTGAAGCTCTTCCATCCAAAAAATAAATAAATAAATAAATAAATAAATAAATAAATAAACAAACCAGATGCTGACAAGGTTGCAGGGAAAAGGGAATACTTACACAGTGTTAGTGGGAGTGTAAATTAGTTCAACCATTGTTGAAAGCAGTGTGGTGATTCCTCAAAGAGCTAAAATGAGCTACCATTTAACTCACAATTCCATTATTATTTGTATTCCTTTGGGAATACAAATCATTGTATCATAAAAGCACATGCACATGTATGTTTATTGAAGCATTATTCATAATATCAGAGACATGAAATCAACCTAAATACCCATAAGTGGCAGACTGGATAAAGAAAATGTGGTACATGTACAACATGGAATACTGTGCATTCATTAGAAAAGAATGAGATCATGTTTTGGCAGGAACATGGATGGAGCTGGAGGCCGTTATCCTTAGCAAACTAATGCAGGAACAGAAAACCAAATACTGCATACTCTTACTTATAAATGGTAGCTAAATGATGGGAACACATGAACACATAGAAAGGAAAAACACATATTAAGTCTTATCAAAAGATGAAGGGTGGGAGAAGGGAGAGGATAAAGAAAGATAACTAATGGGTAATAGGCTTAATACCTGGGTGATTAAATAATCTGTATAATAAACCCCCATGACACTGTTTGACAATATAACAAGCTTGCATATGTACCCCTGAATTTAAAATAAAAGTTAAAAAATCCAATTGCAGTAGTAACATGAAAGATAAATGATCAAAGATCATTATACCAGATATAATGATACTGAAAAGGTTAAAAGTAAGAATTTCTATAGTGTGACAGAGACTCAGTGTGAGCACATGCTATTGGAAAAATGGCACCAAAAGACTTGCCCAATGCAAGTCTTGATGGAAAGTTTCAATTTGTATAAAACAATATCTGTGAAACACAATGAAGCAAAGCATTTTATAGTAAAAGGAGATATGACTGATAAACAGAGTAATTAAAAATATTACTGTTGCTTCCAAGGTAGTGGGAACCTGTCTAAAAATTAATCTCCATAAATAAAAGTAGGAACCTGAAGATAGAAAGTCACTCTTTTAGAACTCAGGATAGATTTCAACAAATTACTTCTTCTTCATTATTATATAGGTATATGCCCCCATGAATTTCTTCCTTTCCATTAATAACATATGTCCAAGTTTAGTTCCTTAACATGATTTTTCATAAGATTTTACACTAGTTTCCTCTGAGCTTCCTGCCTCACTCAACAAATGCCATCAATTCTTGCCTGTAGATTCCTTCTTGTCCTGCTGTCAGAGAAAACAGCAACATCAGCAGCAGAAGCATCAAGAGCAACGACAAAACAAAAGAAAACTGTAGAACAATGAGATTTAACACAAATAGTTCTATCTCAAGATATTTAATAATCGAACTCAATATGGTCAAAGACAAAGGAAGGATCTTAAAAGCAGAAAGAGCAAGAGCAAGGCAAAAAATAACATACAAAGAAATTCCCATACAGCGGGCAGCAGCAGTGTTCTCATTGGAAACCTTATTAGCCAGAAAAAAGTGGCATGACATATTTAAAGTGCTAAAGGAAAATACATATATATAAATATATTAAAATAGTATATCCAGAGAAAACATCCTTTAATCATAAAGGAGAAATGAAGAGTTTCTCAGACAAACAAAGCTGAGGGATTTCATCAGCACAAGGACTGTACTACAGAAAATGCTAAAGAGAGTTCTTCAATCTGAAAGAAAAAGACATTAATGAGAAATAAGAAATCATCTGAAGGTATAAAACTTACAATAATAAGTGGACAGAAAACAGAATATTATAACACTGTAATTGTGGTGTATCTTGAGTAGAAAGTCTAAAAGATGAACCCATCAAAAATAATAATGACAATAACTTTTGAATACATAAACAATACAATGAGATACAACAGAAATAAAAGGGAAAAAGCAGAGGTTGAAGTTAAAACAGAGAGTTTTATTAGTTGTCTCCTTGTTTGTTTGTTTATTAATCAGTGTTAAGTTGTCATCAGTTTAAAATAATGAGTTATATTATTTTCAAGCCTCATGGCAACTTTAACTAGAAATATATACAATAGATAAACAAATAATAAACAGCAAGGAATTAGAACATACCACCTGAGAAAATCATCTACAATAAAATTAAGACAGAAAGGAAGGAGAAAAGAAAGAGGAGACCACAAAACAATTAGAAAACAAATAACAAAATGGCAGGAGTAAGTCTTTAATTATTATCAATAATACCATTGAATATAAATAGACTAAACTCTCCAAGCAAAAGACAGAATGGCTTAATAGATTTAAAAAAAGACCAAATGATTTGTTGCCTACATAGCAAACACATTTCACCAACAAAATGAAAAATAAAGAGATGAAAACAGATATTCCATGAAAACAGAAACCATAAAAGAGCACGAGTTGCTCTACTTATAACAGACAAAATAGATTTCAAGATAAAAACTGTAAGAAGAGACAAAACTGACATTATATAATGATAAAGGAGTCAATTGAGCAAGAGGACATGACTATTATAAATATACATGATATATATGTACCCCACACTGAAGCACCCAGATATGCAAAGCAAATATTGTTAAAGAGAGAGATAAACCCCAATACGATAATAGCTGGAGATTTTAATACCCCACTTTCAGCATTGAACAGGTCATCTAGATAGAAAATCAACAAAGAAACATTGGACATAATCTGCACTACAGGCCCAACAGACCTAATAAATATTTACAGAACATTTCATCCAACAGGTGCAGAATACACATTCTTCTCCTAGGCACATGGATGACACTCAAGAACAGACCATTTGCTAGGCCACAAAAAAAGTTTTAAAAAATAAAAAATATTGAAATAATTTCAACTATCTTCTTTCTCCACAATAGAATATAACTAGGAATCAATAAAATGAGGAATTTTGGAAACTATGCAAATACATGGAAATTAAACAATATACTCCTGAATGACCAGTGGGTAAATGAAGAGATTAAGAAGAAAATTTAAAAGTATATTGAAACAAATGATAATGAAAACACAATATACCAAAACCTATGTGATACCTTAAGAGCAGTTGATATGCTTTTGCTGTGTGTCCCCACCCAAATCTCATCTTGATTTGTATTCCCATAATTCCCATGTGTTGTGGGATGGACTCAGTAGAAGATAATTTGAATCATGGGGGCAGTTTCCCCTCATATTGTTCTCGTAGTAGAAAATAAGTCTCATGAGATCTGATGGTTTTATCAAGGGTTTCCACTTTTGTATCTTCCTCATTTTGCTCTTGCCACCACCAAGTAAGAAGTGCCTTTCACCTCCCGCCATGATTCTGAGGCCTCCCCAGCCAAGTGGAACTTAAGTCCAGTTAAACTTCTTTATTATCAGGCTTGGACATATCTTTATCAGCAGCATGAAAATGGACTAATACAGACGTACTAAGAGGGGAGTTTATAGCAATAAGTGCCAGATCAAAAAAGTAGAACAACTTCAAATAAACAAGGTGCTGATGTAACATAAGAATTAGAAAATCAAGAGTAAACCAAACCTAAAATTAGAAGAAAATAAGTAACAAAAATTAGAGCAGATATAAATAAAATTGAAAAAAAATCAATGAAATAAAAAGCTGTTTTTGATCAGATAAAATCTACAAACCTTTAGCCTAAGAAAAAAAGAGAGAAGTCCAAAATAAATAAAATCAGAGATGAAAAATGAGACATTACAACCAATAATGTTGAAATTCAAGGGATCATTAGCAAATAAATACCAATGAATTGGAAAACTTAGAAGAAATGGATAAATTATTAGACTCATACAATCTACCAAACTTGAACCATGAAAAATCCAAAACCTGAACAGAACAACACTAGGTATCAAGATCAAAGACAATGAAAATCTCCTAGCAAAAATAAGCTTGGGACACAATGTCAACACTGCTGAATTTTACCAAATATGTAAAGAAGAACTAATATCAATCTTACTCAAAACTATTCAGAAAAATAGCAGAGGAAGGGATACTTCCAAACTTATTGTATGAGGCTAGTTTTACCCTGATACTAAAACTAAAGACATGTCAAAAAAAAAAAAAGAAAAAAACAAATCAGAACAATATTCCTGATAAACATTGACACAAAATACTCAACAAAATACTAGCAAACCAAACTCAAACACATTAAAAAGATCATTCATCCTGAGCAAGTGGAATTTATCCAAGGGATGCAAAAATACTTCAATATATGCAAATCAATCAATGTGATATATGGTATGAACAGAATGAAAAACAAAATCCTTATGATCATTTCAATTGATGCAAAAATATTTTATAAAATTCAACATCCCTTCATGATAAAAAAATCCTCAAAAACTGAATATAGAAGGAACATATAACACAATAAAAGTCACATATGAGACACTCTCAGCTAGTATCATAAGGAGTAGAGATAATAAAATAAAATGTCTAACAACAAACTTAACCAAAGAAGGGAAGATCTCTATAATGAAAACTATAAAACATTAATGCAAGGAATTGAAGAGGGCACCAAAAAAGGGAAAGATATTTTATATTCATGAGTTGGAAGAGTTAATATTGTTAAAATGTATACATTTCCCAAAGTAATGTATAGATTCAAAGCAATCCCTATGAAAATACTAATGACATTCTTCACATAAGTAGAAAAAAATCCTAAAATCTATATGGTATAATAAATGTCCAAAATAGCCAAAGCTATTCTGAGCAAAAAGAGCAAAACGGGAGGAACCATGTTACCTGACATCAAATTATACTACAGAGGTATATATAGTAAGCAAAACAACAATGTAGTGATATAAAAACAGAGAGATAGACCAATGAAACAGAATAGAGAACCCAGAAATACATACATACTTCTACAATAAACTTATTTTTGACAAAGTTGTCAAAAACATACTCTAGGAAAAGGATAGTCGCTTTTATACATAGTGCTGAGAGAAATGGATATCCACATGTAGAAGAATAAAACTAGAGCCCTATCACTCATCATACACAAAAATCAAAATAAATGGATTAAGTACTTAATTCTAAGACCTAAAAATGTGAAACTACTATAAGAAAATATTGGGGAAACTCCAAGACATTGGACTGGGCAAAAATTTCTTGGGTAGTACTCCACGAGCTCAGTCAATCAGGGCAAAAATGGAAAAATGGGAACACATCAAGTTAGGAATCTTCTGCACAGCAAGGGCAAAAACCAGCCAAGTGAAGATACAACCCACAGAATGGGGGAAAATATTTGCAAACTATCCAGCTGACAAGGGATTAATAACCAGAATATATAAGGAGCCAGGCAACTCTATAGGAAAAAAAATAATAATCCAATCAAAATGGGCAAAATATCTGAATAGATATTTCTCAAAAGAAGACATACAAATGGCAAAATGTATATGAAATGTGCTCAATATCACTGATCATCAGAAAAATTCAAATGAAAACTACAATGAGATATCATTTCACCTTAGTTAAAATGGCTTTTATCCAAGAGACAAACAAAGACAAATACTGGAGAGGATGCAGAGAAAAGGGACCCCTTGTACACCGTTGGTGGGTGTGTAAATTAATACAATATTTAGGGAGAACAGTTTGGACATTTCTTGAAAAACTAAAAACAGAATTACCAAAACACCACGGTTAGATATATACCCTAGAGAAAGGAGATTAGGATATAGAAAATGAATCTGCACTCTCATGTTTATTTCAGCACTATTCACAATAGCCAAGATTTGGAAGCAACTTGGGTCCATCAACAGATTAATGGATAAAAAATATGTGGTACCTATATACACAATGGAGCATTATTCAGCCGTAAAAATGAATGAGATCCTGTCATTTGCAACTACATGGATAGAACTGGAAGATATTATGTTAAGTGAAATAAGCCTGGCACAGAAAGACAAAATTCACATGTTTCCACTCATGTGTGGAATCTGAAAAAACAAAACAACTGAACTCATGGAAATAGAGAGTAGAATAATAGTTATCAGAGGCTAGGAAGTGTAGCGCGGGGTTGGGGGAGTGGCGATGGTTATTGGGTACAGAAACATAGGTAGATAGAATGAATATGATCTATATTTAATAGCACAACAGGGTAGCTATAGTCAATAATAATTTATTGTACATTCAAAAATAACTAAAAGAGAATATTTGGATTGTTTTTAACACAAAGAAAGAATACATTCTTGAGGTGATGGATACCCAATTTACCTAATGTGATTATTAGGCATTATATGCCTGTATCAAAGTATCTCATGTATCTCATAAACATATACATCTACTATGTCCCCACAAAAATAAAAATAAAAAATAAATAAATAACAACAAAAATCAATAGTTTTCTATTATTGTGTCACTTCATCATAACCTTTTCCAGGACCTTTTCCAAAGTTCTACCATATCTAAACCTTAAATTAAAATCAAGTTGAAGTATTCTTTCTTCCTTTTGCAGGTTTCCTTCAATTTATCTTGTTGTACTTATATGCTCACTAATCTACATCTGTGAAATGCCCCAGTTCTTTTCATCAATGCTCAAAGCTCCAGATCAGTACCACCCTTACACGTCACAAGAGTTGCTCTTCCCTGGACCACCTTGGTTTAGAGAGATTGAGTCTACACTTATTATAAACTGCACTCCTCATGATAGCAGAGTCCATGAAGCCAAAGAAAGATGTTCAGTGACATCTCTGCCCTACTTTCTAGACCACATAGATGCTAACAGGAACATGAAAAGAATGAAGATAGATGCAGAGCCAACAGATTTGCTAAAGAGAATGTCACTGTTTAAACAAAAATTTTATTTACGCTCCACAAAGGAAATCTAATAGTTAATATATCATTATATCTGCATTAGCTCATTTAATCCTCATGGTATCTCTGTACTATAGGTACAGATTATTCCCCTTGTACAGACAAGAAAAAACAGACATTGAGATTTACAAATACTTTCCCAAGCCATAAATGTTGTATATGGTATATGTAGGATTTTCATCCAGGAAGTGCAGCTTCCTAGAAAGAACTCCACAACAATGTGGCTTCTAGAAATAAGACTAAGAAAAATAGAAATGTAGATCTTTTTTTCTTTAGCTGGAACATAAACCAGAAGGACAGAGGTAAGACAAAGAATACAAGTCACAAAGGAGTACAAAACATTATATATTCTTGAGCTAAGATTTAACTTATTTCAGTTTCCAAGAATTACAACAGCCTTTTTTTTTTCAATAGTGTGTACGCCAACTATGTAATTAAGAGTTTGAACTGAGGGAAAAACAAATGACTTAGCCTCCAGGTAAATTCCTTTAACAAAATGAACCAGAAGTAACCGAATTGTGCATGTTTTCTGACAGTTCTTTAAATAGCCTGATTTCCTCATAGTCATTCATTCTTGAGTTTACATTTTTAAAAATATTTTACCTATAACAATTTATGCTAAAGTAACTGAAATATCATATGAAAATATTCTATTTTGCCAAAGTAGTAATAATACTTGTAATATTTCTCCTAGATTTATTTTTATTATATAAATAATTATTTGATAAAATTAACTTTTAATCAAACTTCTTTGATGGTTATTTAATCAAGGCTACATGTTGCATAATATTAGAAATATTTATCATGTCATTTCTGGAAAAGCCACAGACACTCAATGCCAACCCGTGAAAGCAGCCAGGAGGGGAGCTGTACCCTGCAAAGTCACAGGGATGGAGCTGCCCAAGGCCGTGGAAACCCACCTCTTGCATCAGCATGACCTGGATGTGAGAAATGGAGCCAAAGGAGATCATTTTGGAGTTCTAAGATTTGACGGCCCTACTTGATTTCGGAGTTACATGGGGCCTGTAATCCCTTCATTTTAGCCAATTTATCCCTTTTGGAACAGTTGTATTTACCCAATGCCTGTGCCCTCATTGTATCTAGGAAGTAACTAACTTGCTTTCGATTTTAGGGGCTCATTGTGGAAGGGACTTGCCTTGTCTCAGATGAGACTTTGGACTGTGGACTTTTAAGTTAATGCTGAAATGAGTTAAGACTTTTGGGGACTGTTGGGAAGGCATGATTGGTTTTGAAATGTGAGGGCATGAAATTTGGGAGGCGCCAGGGGGCAGAATTATATGGTTTGGCTGTGTTCCCACCCAAAACTTATCTTGAATTTTAGCTCCCATAATTCTCATGTGTCATGGGAGGAATCTAGTGGGAGGTAATTGATTCATGGGGGTGAGTCTTTCCTGTGCTGTTCTTGTGTTAGTGAATAAGTCTGATGATTTTATAAAGGGCAGTTTATAATAGGATTTATAAAGGGTAGTTCCCCTTTGTGTAGGGGGAACTTGTGTTCTCTCTTGCCTGCCACCAGGTAAAACGTGACTTTGCTCCTCATTCACCTTCCACCATGATTGTGAAGCCTCGCAAGCCATATGGAACTGTGAGTTAATTAAACATCTTTCCTTCATAAATTAAAAAATATATGAATTTATTTTGTCATTTCTGGATGAGAAATTATGTTAACAAAATTTGTATTTAAATAGTAAAATTCTTAATTTCTGAAGAATTGCTTCTCTTTTTATATTAAGTCTTTATGAAGCAATGCACATTTTCTGTAATGGTTTCTTATTCAAAATTGTGGAAGCTTCACTGTCACAGAAGATAAATTGAAATGTCTTTTAACTTGGCCCTTATGACTTTCAGATTCTCTGAAATCTAGTTACTATTTTGAACGTATAAAATTACTTTGGCAGATACTTTCCTCAGTCTTGTTTCTAGAAATATAGGTCAAGTATTTAATCATCAAACAACCACAGGTATTTAACAGGCTCATATTTTTCATGATAATAGAAAACCCTAGGGTTATTTTGTAATAGAGCAGCTCATATGAATCTTAGTTCAAGTTATTGTAAGATATTACCAAATTCAGAATATTGGACCCTTCTGCCTGAATATTCATATTGATTTTATAATTTTAGATTTTAAGCTAAATTCATAACATGAATATGTTTTTTAATGGTTATATGAGTGTGCACCAATGAGACAGCTTGGATTTTCGCCAGGCAAAATCCTTAGGTTTTTTTTTTCTCTTCTGTTTTAATATTTTATTTATTACCAAATAAATTTATACTGGATAAGCTCTCATTAATATTGATTTCTTATTTTCTGCTAAATCTGCTATATTTGCCTGCCTTTTGGCTAAAACTTTGCTGACATAATTAAATGCATTCTTTTAAATTAAAGAACAAATAGTGTTTCTCTTTTTACAGACATGACAAGTGCTTCAAATTATGATATAAAATAGTGCCAGGACATTTTCACTGTAAATTTATTTTTTCTAATTTGCAAGAGTGTGCTTTGAAATGGTTATTCAGCATATACCAGAAAATTGACAATTTCTTTAATATTATATTGTGTCACAAACATTATCTCTAATATATAAACATGCATTAATATCCATACTCTTTCTCTTTCCCTCTCTCTTTCTCTCCTTCTCTCTCTGATTTTATTCTCTCTCACTCTTCTTCTTGCCTTTTGCCCTCAGCCCCAAAACATTTTTCTAGGTGCTACTTAAACGTGCAAAGTAAAGTGGCCTTGCTACTCAGAAGAGAGCCTCTGTCTTCTGCTGTTTGGATAGCTCTTTTCGTCATTTTCTTCAGATCACTCTTCAGAGGTCACCACATCAGTGACATTGTTCCCAGAAATCCTAGTATCATACATGCTCATGAAGTCACTGTGTACCTTATTTCTCTGTTGTATTTTTCCTTCACAGCTGTCATCACCTCCTGTGACATATTGTTTCTCTCCCATAACTAGAAGGTAATCTCTACTGAAGGAGAACAATATTGACTTTGCACTTTTTGTCATTGTTTTTTATGCCTATACAAAATCCCTGAGATAAAGTAGACTTTTGATGAATATTTGTGGAACGAATAGATAAATGCATAAAGGATCAACTTTCTACGTCATAAAGAGAGTAGATAAAAAAAGACCTTTACGTTTAAATAATATCTCAGCCATAGCCTAATAATATCAACCACTCACCCCCGTATACAGACACACATTGAATATTTCTTGTGCTGTAGACATTCATAGGCTCACTACAGTACCTAATGGAGAAAACAGTATCTTGGAAGGGCTTGGCATGAGTGTTCTATAAAGAGTGGTGAGCATGAAGAAACTTGGAGTTGGCTTCTCTTCTGGAGAATTCTGAAGTTAGTAGGGATTCGTTAGAGCTTCCTGTGATGTCAAGTACAGGAGAGCAAGTACTTTGTATGGAAAAAATAAGATTCCTGGGAGCAAAATGGATGCCTACAGAAGGTGACATGACCTGAACCACTTCAATGGTGTTTTGATCAGTAGGAGAAGGGTACTTAGATGTGAAATGGAAACTTTTAAGCTCCAGTAGAGGGGATTTGAAAATATCTGAAAGTAAGTTGATATAGTAATAATGAATGTTCTAATTGTAAATGGACGGATGACTATGGGACCTGTTTATGATCTTTCAGGAAGACGGGCAGTGCCAGGACAGGACTATGTTTGCAGGAAGTGATGGGAGAAAAATAAAGGCTTTCAGCACTTCTGGATTGAGCAAATGGCATAAACTATTCTAACGCATATGTTAGACACCTGGTATCAACAAGAATTTGAGTCGGAAATCTTTATTGTTTTTAAAAAGTAAAGTAAAAGCAAATGTTATTTTTTTAAAAAGCAAGATCTACTTGTACATACACATAAACACACTGGCCTTCAGAAAGCAAAAAAAATCTTACTCTTAAAAGAGTATTTTTGAATGTATGCACACCACTAAATGAACTATTTTAAGTGAAAGTATATAAAATAGCATTCGGTATTAGCTGTCACTGTCATGAAAGAGCCAAATTATATTTGACAATCAGAGTTTCAACAGCAAAGTGATACTGGGTGATTATTATAATTAAAAGAAAAGGAACAATATGTTAGCTTCAATAATATATTGTTTGTTAAAATGTACCAGTCCCATATTGATGTGACTTATGACACAGATTCATTGCAATTAGAAGGTTTAGTTTTTTTGATAGAGTTGATAGATGACTTTTCAACAGTAAAATAATTGTCGTTTTAAGGGAAATTTTCACTTTAAAACATGAAAATATTAAAGCTCTGAATATAGGCACTCTCAAATCACTTTAACAAATCATATCTTTTCTTATTGCTGATATGCCACAAAACTAACAAAAAATATCAAACATATAACTATTTATAGATCCTTCTGTCATGACAGCAAATCATATAAAGTGGAATAATTATTTACTACCATATTAGAAAAATGTATCTTACATAAAAATATACTCAAGCCACTGGAAATATATAAACTGTTTAAGTGTCAGCAGAGGAGCAGAGGAGACAAGGCACTTCTCCATACACACACATACACACACCTATTTGCTCCTTCCTTAATAGCCTCTAAGAGCTCGAAATGACTAAATTCGAATCACTGGCTGGGTATAAACAATTGTTAAGGTCTTACTTACTCTGTTCCTCCCATTGTGAATGTGCTTTTACTCATTCACATTCTAATCTCTTAACCCAATTATTTTCTCCATACACAATAGCTTGCCCATTTTCACCTCTTTTTTTGCCCAAATCACATTGCACAGTTGGTGAGACCCAACCCTACCATTGCCAGTAACATCAACATACTCATGTTATTTTTCCCTTTCCTTTCTTGCACAACCTTTGAGATCATCTACATTTTATTTGCATAGCTCCTACACGTGGGATTTCTATTATAATTGATAAAAATCACACAAATTCAGAGGAGGGTCCATCTGAAAATTCATGGTTTCCAGTGTCATCTTGGTTCCCACATTTTTGCTGGGATATTCTATTTTCCCAGAGAGCTTCCTGTTTAATTGTTCCCACAGTTTATTTCCACACTCCACAAACGTTCTAATACAGCATGTCATCACAAATAACTGGCACACGACTGTGCTTCTGTTTCATAAACACACAAAGATTCAATAATCAATCATCACCCAACTCATACAAATTCAACAGTATATGTCTTAATCTTTTCTCCACACACATCCTCTCTAAAATTGACTATTCTGTTAAACTTTGAGTCCTTTTCATTTCTCATATCTAAAAAAGCAATTTTTGTCTTCTTTTCTATAAGTTCAATCCTTCCTTCACTATCCTCTATCAGGATTTTTATTTTATTTTTTATTTAAATTTTATTTTTGTAGAGACAGGGTATCGCTATGTTGCTCAGTCTGGTCTCTTAACTCCTAGGCTCAAGCAGTCCTAATACCTCAGCCTCCCAGAGTGCTGGGATTACAGGGATGAGCCACCATGCTCAGTCTCTATCAGTATTTTAAAATGTATCCAGATTTCTTCCATCTAATCTAGAAATAAGCACAAACCTTCTTAGTTCCACAATTGTCTACAACTTTTTCTCTCTTCTCTGTCACAGGTATCACTTCTTCCATTTCACTTTCTGTCCATTCCTCAACCTATTACAGTATGAATTAATAGCCTCACCATTCAGCTAACATTGCCTTTTGAAGATCATCAAATAATTTATTTATGTTAAATCCAATGTTCATCATCTACATGTGTTTCTTTACTTTTCTATCATATGACAGTATTAACCCAATCCCCTTAATGGAAACACTCTGTCCTTAGTTTCAATAACAAAATTTTGTTTGGTTTGGTTTTCCTTCTACCTTTTTTGTCATTCCTTATCAATCTCTTGAACTCATATTTTTGCCAAACAGAACTTGCAATGTCATAGTTCTCATTCCCTTCTCCTTGAACATTTATTTTGACTAGAAATTTTTCTCCTCAAGCTAGAAGTACTATAAGTTTAGGGGTGGGTTTAATAGTTTCATTTGCCTTCAAAGTCCTCTTCCTTTTTGAAAAATTACAGGTAAAATTGTATATATTTATTGTGTACAACATGATGTATTAAAGTATATATACATTGTGGAATGACTAAATATACCTAATTAACACATGTATTACCACACATAGTTATCATTTTTAGAAAGAATACTTAACATTCAATCTCTCAGCATTTTTAAAGAATGCAATATATTGTTATTAAGTGTAGTAATCATGTTGTACAATAGATCTCTTGAAATATCTCCTCCTGTGCAACTGAAATTTTGTGTTCTATGACCAACATCTCACCAACCCCTCTCTCTGCTCCTATTAATCACCATTCTAATCTTGCCTTTTATGAGATCAACTTTTTTAGGTTTTACATATGAGTGAGATAATATGGTATTTGTCTTTCTGTGCCTGGCTTATTTCACTTAGCATAATATCCTCCACATTCACCTATGTTGCCACAAATGACAGGGTTTTCTTATTTTTATATTTCTATCAATGGATGAATGGATAAAACAACATGGCATATATACCCAATGGAATGCTATTCAGTGAATATCCTCTTCTTGACAGCAACAGAATGGACATCAGTCTTTTGTGTGAGATTATAGTCACAGGCTCTGATGTAGCATATGCACTTAAGATGGGTTATGTTAAGTCATTTCATATTTATGTACAGTTTCAGGTGTAGACTGATACATAGTCTAATTGATAGTTGGTGAATGTTTTTTGTAATTATGGGTGTCTTTGCTATTTCATTTTCTATGCCATATGAGGATGCTAGCAAAAATAGGAGAGAGAATAAACCTGGAGAACATTAAATGGCTGCCAAGACCCTGAAGCCTTTATTTTATGTATAAACATATACTATCAGATTGTTGATTTAAAAGCCCAGAATTTAGAGTTATATGTTGTTTACTGAAGTCAATAAAAGATTATTTTTGATGCACTGTGTACTTCACATTCTAATCTATTAACCCAATTATTATTATTATGTGAACATAAACTTCACCTAACCAATTTAATGTTTTGTTCCATTGAATATTCTACATCCCCAAACAAAGCCCCACAACTTTAAAACATGTACTGATTATGATTAGCACATTGGAAAATGTGCTCCCAGGGTCTCCCATATAAAATCAGAGATTATTTCAGCTAGAAAACAATGCCAGGAATTTCACAATGCTTGCTGTATTGCTGATACATTATTGTGCAATTAAAAATATGCTTTGTCCACTAAATGCATCAATTTAGAATTTTTAATTAAAAAAGTAATTTTTCTATTTTGGTAACCACATCTCTTATTTTCTATTGATAATATACAAATACATCTTATTAGATTTACTAATAGTTTTAATTAAAACATTTTGTTCTTCAATTCCATATATTTTTTTTAATTTTTGCCTTCTTTTTTGGACTAGATTCTTTTTTCTTCCTTAGCTATGTATATTTTTGTATGGTTGTAATTCTGGGCAAAGAGCCCAGATTGGGATAATTTTTGTTTGTTCCTCACATAGTGTCCCAGATTCTGTTTTGAGAGGAGCATTGTAAATTAATAATATGATTACAGTGTTATTTTCATTATTTATTTTCTCTAGGATCTAGCACATTGAGACATATTATTTGCAGTACTTAGCTCCGAATGCGAATACAGACTAGTTAGTTTCCAGGCACTGCAGTTACCAGCATCTATTTTTTTCTCCTTAGACAATTAGTTATAACTATTCTGTCTTTCAGGAATGGGAAATAGAACTGATGAGTTTTTCTAAACTCATTCGACACTATAGTCCTTTATGGTCTAGGTTGTATGGTGCTCCATTCATTAGGAATAATACATTGCATTGATGTCTCTGCTAATAATTGCATGTGTATAACAGAAAGCCCTTTGTGTATCAATGTGTAATGCTGAGAGATCCACTACCCCAGGAATCAGGGAATCACATATGTGGTCATCCACTAAGCTCATCATCCACTAAACTCCTGCAGGGCCTAGAAAATGAAATTGGTCACTCTGGGCCTATGAAATACTGGTTAATACTGTGCAATGTATTCTCAAAATCAAATTTCCCCTATTTCTAAGACATTTAACCATATCATGATGTGATATCTTTAACTCAAGGACCAGAAAAACTGAGCTTCCTAAAGCAGTTATTTATTTCTATCTAAATTATCTTTTATTTGGTTACAAATTAAATAAACTCTAGTTTTCCATTGTTAATTGATGACCATCTTGATAACTCAGTAGTCTCCTTAGCTATTACCGGTTTTTAAAATTTTCTTACCCATCACATACATACCTTCATTTCAGATAAGTATAGACTTTCATCATCATCATCATCATCATGATTCTTTGTGGGGATATTATGTTTTAACTATGTTCTACCTCACCCTTCAAGTTTATTCAATTTAATAAAATGATTTTTTGTTATTCTAGGTCTTCTAGAATAGTTTTATTTTCTATTACATACTAATAAACTGGAATTGAATATAGCAAAGGCTCCAAAAACCCATCACATTTCTCTGAACAAACAAACAAGAGAAATAATCAGTCTTTGCAGGCTAAAGCTCTAAATGTTAATAAACCTGTATACACAGAGAGGGAAAAAAGAAATAAAAGGTATAGATGTTAAAACATCATCACCCATGGGAAGTGACCATTCAATGCTCTTTGCAAGAAGTCTGTCATACAGGGCCCAACAAGTTATTTGAATTGTATTCAGGTTGTTTCTTGGCATTGGTAGGTATGATAGTAAGCTCCATTCATTCATGGCCACTGCTACTATACGTTGAAATCTGTTTTATATTCAAAATAACTCTTATCTACAAAACTTGAAATCAAAATTGTATAAGTGATAAATTTTATAGCTTTGCAACATTTAAAATATATCAAAGTAAAACTTTAGGGGGTTTAGTTCCCCCTAGTGGTATGTGAATCATCAAAATTCTACAAAATTCATAAAAGGATCAAACCAGAAGATTTAAGTCACCTTAGAAATTACTGGATAATATCGGCCGGGCACATTGGCTCGTGCCTGTAATCCCAGCGCTTTGGGAGGCTGAGGAGGGCAGATCACCTGAGGTCAGGAGTTCGAGACCAACATGGTGAAACCCCGTCTCTACTAAAAATACAAAAATTAGCAGGGTGGGGTGGCGCTCCTGTAACCCCAGCTACTCAGGAGGCTGAGACAGGAGAATCTCTTGAACCCGGGAGGCGGAGGTTGCAGTGAGCCAAGATCGCACCATTGGCACTCCAGCCTGGGCAACAAGAGTGAAACTCCATCTCAAAAAGAAAAAAAAAGAAAAGAAAAGAAAAGAAAGGAAAAGAAAAGAAACAAAGAAATCACTGGATAATATCATCGTTTTACAAATTTTGAAATAAGGTCTAGAGACATTGTGTAAACTAAAAATATTGCAAAGCTGAATGGTAACAAAAAGATGTGTTCTGATTCCCAGATCAATGTTTACTGATAATAAATAAAATCACTTTGGCTTATTGGTTTCAGATTAAGACAATACAATCTTTTTCAATATCGTAATTTTAATACATGAATGTCTGTACTATAAAAATTAAAATTATAGTAATAGTAACTTTTAAAGCTAAATCAATAGATTTCTATTGTTTAAAATAATAGATGCTAGAATGTAAAGAGTAAAATTAATATACTAGCTTAATAAAATAAACACTCAAACTCTTCTAATATTTTTTTACCAAATATAAATACAAGAACTTCACTGTCTTTAAGAGAAAAGAGCAAAACAAGCGAAGCAATTCTAAATTGATTTCACTAAAATATTTGAAAGATTGTTTCATTCCTCACATTTTTGTTTTAGCTTTGTTTTAGGGTTTCTATTTATTTTTTTTTTTAAGAAGGACTCTATAGTTGACCTTTGCTTGTAGACTGAATCTAAGAAGAAGGCAGTTTGTGGATTGAATTTGATAATTTTTCATGCTGTCACAAATGATCTATATGTTTCATTACCTTATGAACTTAAATCCTCAGGCAATGGGTTCTTGAAGAGAAAGGCTGAACCTACTTATTTGAAATAAACATAACTATGATACATAACTGTGCGATGTTGGAAAATAAAGGAAAGAAACACATTAGTATCTAACTTTAAATTACAGTTATTAGGCTTTGTCAAACTGCCATTAGAGTTATTTTTAGTTTAGAATGTGGACACAAATTTTTGAAGTTACTTATTCTCTGAGATATATCAAATATTTCTTCCCCCTTTGCTGTTTTTACCATCAAAAGTCATTATTTTTTTCTTTGTATCTGTCACCATGCCAGACGGCATGTAGTCTGCTTCTGACTTATTTATATAAGTTATATTGAGACAAAGACATGCCACATTGATATATTTTATAGGCATGTGAAGACAATTTTTAAGAAGAAAATATAGCCAAAATAGAATTTTTTATTTTGAAACCTTTTTTATAATTTATGCAATAGTTGAAAGTTATCTTTAACCATATATGCTACATTTATTATTCACTCATGACAAACAAAAGGCTTTGGCTGAGGAATATGTGACTACTCTATTTATAATTTTGACTTTGAGAAAGAGTATTCCATTTTAGTTCCCAAGGGCTATTTTACAGGTATGTAATTGTCAAATAGCCAACCAGATTATTCAGTAAAAAATGAATATATGTCTTATAGGTTGCAATAACAATAAAGAAGTTGAAACCTGATTAATCCAGATGATGTTAAAAATCCTGAAGTTAATATATACAGCTTTCTTCTAAGAAACTCAGAACATTTTCCTCAAATTATGCTTTCTTGTTCTTCATATTACTATTATATTTCAACTCTAATTCCCCTAGCCCTGTGTATCTGAATATATATATAATGTATATACTTTAAATATTATATTAGTATATAAGTATTCTCATAAGGAGTAATATACATTTACTATATATTAGTGAAAAACATATTTAAATGTACAAACATTTTATAATCCATGATTATTCAGAGGTTTATGAGTTTAACGCTTTGTATCTTACACTGTTTTTCTCCTATTTAAATTTTTCATTATTTTTTCAGTAAGAATATCATACCAAAAGAGTTTGAAATTTTATATATTACTCTGTCATATATAATGATAATCTTAGCTAGACTGATAGTCTATATTGACAGATACAGTCAGTTAGCACTATAAATAATATTCTATTTTCTTCTGTTTTCTTTTTTCTAATGAGAAATACACTATACATTGTATGTAATGTTCCTATTTGCTAATTTGCTATTTACAAATTTTGTTTTTCAGTACACACATATGTACACACGCATGTATATACATATACACACACAGACATGCGTGTGTGTGTGTTTGCATGTGTATTTATTTAAGAATGAATTTATTTTCTTTATTGTATTCAAACCTGGTATTCCATAGTATTGTTATCATATCTGTTGGTATTTCATTATGTTTTACTAATCTGAAACATCTTAGTGACAGATAAATTGAAAAACTAAACATAATTCTCTCCTGCCCCAATTTTTATAATCATATTTTAATTTTGCAGTGTTCTTGTAAAAATGTGAAGTCTATTTATCACCTTCTTGAATCAGATCTGGCTTATGGTCTATTTTATTCCATGGAAAATAGTGGAAGTGACATTGTTTAGGGTATGACTTAGACTTCAAAAATCTTTGAGAACTTTTAGTCTCTCTCTCTGTTTCTCTCTTTTTTCCCAAACTCACATGTACCATAATAACAACACTTTCATTCTGCAATGGTATAAGAGAAATGGGGAGAAAAAAAGAATATTTTCAAGTGAGGCAGTCCTACACCAGCCAATTCCCAGTTCCCAGTGAAGCCGCTGGATGACCATAGATGCATAAGTGTGACCAGTTTAAATAAGGAGAGTTAGTTCAAATAAGCAGGATCATCCAAGCAACCCATAGATACCTGGGCTAAACCCTTATTCATTTTCTCTTGAATATTTCTTCAGTCATATTCTCTCTAATACCTCCTGTGGCATTCCTACTCATCATAGTCTATTCCTAATCATCAAATTCTCCATTGGTCATAACCACTTTTTTATACTACCTATCATTCTATCTCTAAACGATGCATTTTTTATAATTTCTTCAACCTATGTTCCAGATCATCAGTTCCCATGAATGTGATTGATGCTTTTATATGAAGAGACATGAGAGCATGCTTCCTGTCTCTTCTCTCCACTGTGTAAAATATATCAAGATGATGGCCATCTGTAAACCAGAAAGCAGGCCCTGAGCAGACACTAGATCTGCTGCAGCCTTGTTCTCGGACTTTCCAGGTTCCTGAACTGTGAAAAACAAATGTTTATTGTTTAAGTCACTCATTCTGCTCTAATTTGTTATAGCAGCATGAACTGACTAAGATGATTCCCAAATTAAACACACACAAAAACAGAATTAAAAAAAAATTCTGTAGAGCAACTTTAAGCAGGCTATTGTGTATATAATTTGAAAGCCCAAAGAACAGGGATGGGCATGGGGACAACAATGTTTGAAGAAACACAGACAGAAAGGTTCCAAATTTGATGAAAATTATGAAACCGCAGATGATGAATCTTAACATATCCCAGTCACAAGAAACATGAAGAAAACTGCAATTGGGGAAAGTATTCAGTCTACATTACATTGCAAGGGCGGTATCCAATCTACATGAACTTAAAATGCAGAATAAGTCTAGAAGTCCTATATTATAAAATTTAAAAAATAGAATAAAGATAACATATTAAAAACAGTTGGATGGCTATCTGTACACAGAAGAATGAAACTGGACACCTACATATCACCATATAAGCAAATTAACTCAAGATAGATTTTAGACTTAAATGTAAGACTTCAAAATATAAAAATCATAGAAGAAAACCTAGGAAATGACCTTCTCAATATTGGCCTTGGCAAAATATTTATGGCTAAGTTCTCAAAAGCAATTGCAACAAAACCAAAAGTTGACAGCTTGGACCTAATTAAACCAAAGAGCTTCTGGACAGCAAAAGAAACTATCAACAGAGTAAACAGACCGCCCACAGAATAGGAAAAACATTGCAAAATATGAATTTAACAAAGGCCTATTATCCAGAATATAATGAATTTAAGCAAATCAACAAGCAAAAAATGAATAACCCTGTTAAAAAGTGGGCCAAGGTCATGACAAACACGTCTCAAAAGAAGACATACAAACAACGAACAAACACATGAAAAAATGTTCGTCATCACTAATAATTATAGAAATGCAAATCAAAACCACAATGATAGATCATCTCACACCATTCAGAATGGCTTTGATTAAACAATAAAAAAGGAACAGATGTTGGCAAGGCTGTAGAGAAAAGAGAACGTTTACACACTATTGGTGGGAACCTAAATTAATTCAGTCAGTGTGGAGAGTAGTTTGGAGATATCTCAAATAACTGAGAATTGAACTACCATTTGATCCAGCATCCTGCTATTGGGTATACACCCAAAGAAAATTAAATTGTTCTACCAAAATGACACACATACCTGTATGTACATCACAGCACTGTTTGTAATAGCAAATCAATGGTGCACTGAATAAAGAAAATATGGTACATATACATGATGGAATACTACACAGACATAAAAAGAACAAAATCATGTCCTTCACAGCAACATGGATGCAGCTGGAAACCATTATCCTAAGTGAACTAACACAGAAACATGTTCTCACTTACAACTGAAAGCTAACCATTGGGTATACCTGGTCACAAAAATTGGAACAGTAGACACTGGGTCATACAAGAGGTGAGGAGGGTAAGTGTTGAAAATCTACCTGTTGGGTACTATGCTGACTACCTGGGTGACAGAATTATTTGTACTCCAAACCTCAGCATCACACAATGTACCTTTGAAACAAACCTGTACATGTATACCCTGATTTTAAAGTAAAACTTGAAAAAAATAATAAATAAATATATAAATAAAATTTAAAGGAAGATAAATAAATAAAAGCAGCTGGATAAAATATACATGCTAATTACAGAGAAATAAAAAGAAGAAATACAACTAATGTTTCTTTAAAGTAATGAAAGAAAAAAATCCAACCAAGAATCCTATACCCAGAAATATTATGTTTCAAAGGTTAAAGCAATCAAGATTTTCTTTATATACTACTATATTGATATGGGGAAAAAAGACAAGTTGCAAATTGCCAATATCAAGAATGAGATAATGGCATCACTGAAGTTATTAAAAGGACAACAAAAAGACATACTACAAACAATTATATGTCAATTAATTTAAGAATTTGGATTAAATAAACAAATTCTATGAAAGACAGAAACTACCAAATATCTTAGAAGAAGAAATCAAGGAATTTAACGTCCCAATATCTATTAAACAAATTGAATTTGCATTTAAAAAGTTCAACAAAGGAAATCTAGACACAGGTTTCACGAGTTAATTCTTCCAAATATTGTAAGAAGAAATCAAACAAATACTACACAAACTCTTCCATGAATTTGAGAGTGATTATTCCTCAGTTTATTTTATGAGACAGGTATTACCTTGACAAATATATCACCAGACACATATATTACCAGACACTGATATTACAAATCAAATATAACAGTTTCAAATAACATGCTAGCAAATCAAATCCTATAGCTCTTACAAACAAAAAGAAAGAAAAGAAAAGACAGTGCATTAAGATAAAGATAGCTTATTTCAGGAATGCAAGCTAGATTTCTCACAGAAAAAAATCAATCAAAATGATACTCTACATATAACAAACTACTAAAGCTCAATATAGTTTTTTATAAAGGGGCTTTAATAAAACCCACTATACATTCCTAATGAAAATTCTCAAGAAATTAGAAATAGAAGAGAACTACAGCAAACTGACAAAGGGCATCTACAAAATGCCAAAAGAAAAATTATAGTTCATGGTGAAAGATACAATGTTTTTCTTTCACCCTAAGAAGAGGAAAAAGCGGGGTATATTTGCTCTCATTAATTCATTCAATAGTGTACAGGGGTTTCTTGCCCATTAAATAAAGAAAGAAAAAGAATACTGGGCAACCAAATTAGAAAAGAAGAAATAAAAAGTTATTTTTTTCCACAGGTGAAATGATTATCCATGTAGAAAAATTGATTGAAACTATAAAAAAGTAGTATACTTAATAACAAGTAAATTTGCAAGATATAAAATCAAACACAAAGAAAATCCATTTATTTTGTGATATCAACAAAGACTCAGAACACAAAATGTCTTGCCATTTATAACGAAATTAAAAATATGAAGCATTTAAGGATAAATCTGATAAAATATATAAAATATCTGTACTATAAAAACTATAAAACAGTGATGAGACTAATTAAATAACACTTAAATAAAATGAGAGCAAAACCTTGCTCCTGTGTCAGATGTAACACGTTTAAGATATCAATTTTTCACAAGTTCATCTACAGATGCAACACAATTCCAATTGAAATTCAAGTAAACTTTTCCTAGAAACTGGCAAACTAAAAATAAAATTCACATGAAAATTTGAAGAATATGGAATAGTCAAATCATAATAACTATAACAAAACTAAAGAAAAATAACACTATCTGATTTGAAGATTTATTATTAACCTACATTAAATAAGAGACTATGGTATTGGCATAAACATAAACACAAATAGATCAATAGAACATCACAGACAGCCTAAATAGGTGCAATTATATATGGGAAATTGATTTTTGACAAACATGCCAAGACAATTACTGGAAAATGGTAATCATTGTAACAAACAATTCTAGGAAAAAAATCGATCTATATCTTGAACCTTACAAAAATTAACTCAAAGAGGGTCATAAACATAAATGGAAAACCTACGTCAACCCTCCCACAATAAAACATAAGATAAAATGGTTGTGATCTTGGGTGAAGCAAAGATATATAAGGTTCAACTTCAAAATAATATAATTTCTATATGTATCTATCTGAGATATATGACAAGAAATCAAACAGCACGTGATAAACTGAGAGAAATTATTTGCAAACCATTTTTCTTAGAAAGAACTTGTATTCAGAATTTAAATAGAAATCTCAGCTTCATAAGGAAGTAAGCCAGTACAAATTCGGGAATAATTTGAACAGCCATTTTTCCAAAGAAGATATATGTAGGCAAATATGCACATGAGATTAATTGTTAAGAAAATACAAAATAAAACTGCAACGAGATACTTTTACAACTGTTAAAAGGGCTAAAGTTGAAAAGATCTAACATACCAAGTTTTGACAAAATTGTACAGAAACTTGAACTCTCATACCCCACTGGTGGAGATGTAAAATGGTATATTCACTTCAAAAAGCAGTTAAACATATATTAAAAATATGATGTAGCTATTCCACTCCTTGGCATTTACACAAAAGAAAAGAAAGTATGTGGCCATATAAAGGCTATGAATGTTTAGAGTTGCTCTATTAGACATAGGCAAACACTGTAGACAATCCAAATGTCTCTTGATAGATGCATGCTAAACAAACAAACAAAAAACTATGCTGTGATTAAACATATAAAGGCTATGAATATTTCCATATAAAGGCTATGAATATTTCCATATAAAGGCTAGTAATGCTTAGAGCTGTTTATTTATCATGGGAAAAATCTGTAAGCAACTCAAATACCTCTTGATAGATACATGCTAAGAAAACTATGCTCCAATTAAACTGTGGTATACTTGGTTTTCCAAGTGAAATAAATGGAATATAATTTGGCAATAAAAAGAATGAACTATTGATACATGCTATCATATGGATATATCTAAGTAATAATGATGCTTAACACAAGGAACTAGGGAAAAAACAGTATATACTGAATAATTCTATTTATAAAATGCTCCAGTAGGCCGGGTGTGGTGGCTCATGCCTGTAATCCCAGAACTTTGGGAGGCCGAGGCAGGCAGATTGCCTGAGCTCAGGAGTTCAAGACCAGCCTGGGCAACACGATGAAGCCCCATCTCTACTAAAATACAAAAAAACTATCTGGGCGTGGTGGCGGATGCCTGTAGTCCCAGCTACTTGGGAGGCTGAGGCAGGAGAATGGCATGAACCCGGGAGGCAGAGGTCGCAGCAAGCCAAGATCATGCTACTGCACTTCAGCCTGGGTGACAGAGCAAGACTCCATCTCCAAAAAACAAAAAATTAAATAAATAAAGAAGTTCCGGTAAATGCAAAGTAATTTATATTACCAGACACAGGTTAAGGAGATGAGAGGCAGAAAGGATTATGAAAGAAGGAATTGCAAAATAAAAGAAGCTTTTTCAGATAGTGAAAATATATACTACTTTGTGCTGATGACTTCATGTCTATATTTATTTCAAATTGCATCACATTTTGCACTCTCAATATTTTTTAGTTTATGCATGTCAATAATACTTTAATAATGTTAAAAATATTTATAGTTAAGTGAGAATATGAAGATGCTTGACAATCTTTCAAAATGTATCTTTATCTTCTATTAACTTCTACCACTGTTGCTTGCTTTTTGTTTAATTAAGAGTCTCCTGGATCTGGGCCTTAAGAAATTATTATCTGGCTACAATGATGCACACATGTTATGAGGTAAAAAAGTGTTGAAATAAAAAAAAAATAAACAGAGAATATAGACTTCCGAAAAGGAAAATTTACTAAGTGAATTACACTAAATTGAAGTGGCATAATAGAAAAATATGTACTAGAAGATAATATATGTATTTTAGAACAAAAAAGACAAAAATAGTTAAGAATAATATGTAAATGATGAGTTAATGGGTGCAGCAAACCAACACGGCACACGTATACATATGTAACAAACCTACATGTTGTGCACATGTACCCTAGAACTTAAAGTATAATTAAAAAAAAAGAATAATATGATTACTAATGCTAAAGGAAAACAAAACAATAGTGGATATCCAAGTTTAGACTTAATACATTAGTTTTTATCAAATTAAATTTTAGCAGTACTAAAAAAAAGTTGGCAATTAGAAACTGATTTGATCAAAAAATCAAAATATGATTTTTGATTCATACTGTAAGTATCAATTGAGACAAAATATATGATAGTTTTTTATAGGCTGAAAACTGTGTGCATAAATTTATTTTCTAAATTTTATAAATTTGAAGAATGCATCACACATGTATTTTTAAAAGTATTAAAGACCAGACTTGATAGATTACTAATTCTATACATACCTCAGCAAAATTTCATTACTTCCTTCTTTCAATTCTGTTTTAAATGCATTGCTTCAAGACTTGCAAGTATGCAATAATATTTGAATGTATAGTTCAGACATATTTTGAAATATATTCTTTCTAAAGCAAAATATTCACAATAGTTCCTAATTATTCTCTTTTCTTCTTGAATCTATTTTAATATCTGTAAAGTTTCATTAAAGCCATGCTTTCTTACATAGCTAGACGCTCTACCCAGTGAGCACTGAGGATGTATAATCTATTAAAGGCTCAGTAAGCTAATGTTTTATTCTCAAGTTCTGCTTTTTATTTTTGCTGCTTATTTGGGTGGGAAAAAAAAGAACCACTGCACCTTAGGAACAGAGACCACCTTAGGAAGAGAAATGTATTCTGAAAAAGTTTGATGATATAGAAAAAACATGAATAAAGCTAAAAGAGTAGAGTTACAGACAGATTTATATATTCATCAAATGGTGAAAATGGCAATTATTATATTTTTCTTTTTTTATTTATGTAAATAAATTACCAAATTAGAACAATTTCAAAGCATTTATCCTCATTTCAAAAATATGAGAAAACAAAACATTGTATTTACAGTCTTCCTCTGTGTAATGGATATGAACACAAATATAAAAAAGTGTCTTATTTATGGAATTCCTTAATATGTGTCAAGTATTACGTTATTAACTTCTTGTAAAAGTGTCAAAACAACTTTTTTTATAAATAGGTGAGACTAGGCATAATTTTCTTAACTTTAGCAGCAAATAATTACTAGAACTGGGGTTTGAACCCAGGCCTCAGATCTCTCTGACATCAAAACCTAGCTTCAAGCATATATTCTTCATATTACGCCAGTCCTAACAGCAGACGAGAGGCTTGGTGGAGTGCCTGACCATGGTGTGAGTGTGTATGTGTGCACATGCTTGGGTTAATGGCTGAAAGAGCTCTATGGACTTAGGGATGATGTTGCAGAGGTGCTCTGATGGCAAACGTGAGGCTCTACCTCCACAAGGATGATTATTTGTAACTCTTCAGAGATGAATATATATGTATTAAGATATAGAAATCGGCCGGGTGGGGTGGCTCATGCCTGTAATTCCAGCACTTTGGGAGGCCAAGGCGGGTGGATCACGAGGTCACAAGATGGAGACCATCCTGGCTAATATGGTGAAACCCCATCTCTACTAAAAATACAAAAAATTAGCCAGGCGTGGTTGGGGGGCGCCTGTAGTCCCAGCTACTCGGGAGGCTGAAGCAGGAGAATGGCGTGAACCCGGAAGGCGGGGCTTGCAGTGAGCCAAGATTGCGCCACTGCACTCCAGCCTGGGCGACAGAGGGAGACCCTGTCGCAAAAAAAAAAAAAATAAAATAAAATAAAATATATATATATGTATATATATATATATATTGCTTAGTCAGAGGCACTGTGCAAACTCTCAATATTTGCAGCTAAATCTGATTTCTGGAAAAAATAGGCATAAAAAGTTGAGGAAATGAAAGCTACAACACGTGTCAAGTACACATAGGATAAATAAAGGCAAAATTAAAAACAATAATTTTCTCCTGTAAAGTTTTGGTTGGATGAGTTTTAAATTATGAGGAGATGTAAAATATAACTTTACAATGGAAATAAAAGTTTTTTAAATTTTATTCTTTTCTGAATATCATAATAATTGTATATATTTATGAGGTACAATCATATTTTGATATATGTTTACAATGTGGAATGGTTAAATTAGGATAATAAACAAACTTATCACCTAACGTGATTATCATTTGGTTGCGGCAAAAACATTTAAAATGTACTGTTTTAGCATTTTTGAAATATACAATGCATTATTATTTATTACAACATCTCCCTTTTCCCTGTCCACTCCTTCAGCCCGCAGCCTCTGGTAACCATCACTGTACTGTATACTTCTATGAGTTCAACTTTTAAAGATTGCACATATCAATGAGATCATATGATATTTGTCTTCCTGTCCCTGGCTTATTTCTGTAATACTGTCTCTCAGATTCATCCAAGTTGTCCCAAATGACAGGATTTCTTCCCCCACTTTTAAGGCTGATTCTAGGTTTTGGGTTTCATTGAGGGAAAAAAAAAAAAAAAATATATATATATATATATATATGTATATATATATATATATGTAAATGGACTAGCTATCCAAGAATTACCAGTCTATTTTCACAAATAAAGATATTATGAAAAGCTTTTTTTACAGTTGTGTTTGCTTTAAAACCATTTTTTAATTAGAAAAATCCACTGAAGCTGCGTAGACAGCAAAACATGATCCCATAACAATATTTAAATATTCTATGCTTTATTTCTGACCTAATCTTTCTCTTGTCTTTCAAACTGAAACCATTCTACTTTGCCATTTTTAGTAAATTCTTCATTGAAATCAAGCAAGAAAACAATCATCACTGTATTACTTATGATAAGGTCAGCTTTTGTAGTAAGATTAATTCTAAATCTTACAATGGTTCAAATACAATTCATGTTTAATTGTTGCTCACATGAAAGTATTGGGCAAGTAAGTAGATATGTGGGTTAGCCCTCTTCTATCCAGTGGCTCAGGGAATCAGTGTATCAAAAGCTTTGTTCTATTCAATAAATGGATTCTAAGGTCTTCCTGGGTGTAGTCTCTCTTCTAGTTAGATAGCCAGAATTTGAAGCTGCCTGGAGAAACAGGCATAGGAGTTGTCCATAGGCTGTGCCTGGAAGAGGACATCTCACTTTTGTTCACATTTAATGTGTTATAACTTTGTAAAGTTACCTAACTAGTCCCAATTTGGGCAGTCAATTAGCAGCAAAATCCTACATAAAGGATTATTAGTGGACAATCACATTCTATTTGTAATTCAGATTTAACTGAATATTGTGGCAAATATGTTTTATTCACATATTTTAACAAATTATTTTATAACAAACCTATATATCAAGAAATTTATATCTAAATAAATTAGCATGAATCACTAGAAAACAAAGACATTTTTTCACATGATGAACAGTATGACACCATTATTACATTTAATAAAATCATCAGTGATTCTATGTTATCATCTAGCTCGCTGTGAAATAGAAATATCTTTGTCTCCAAAATGTATGTTTACATTTATGTTGTTCCAAAAAAGAGTCCTAGCCACCCAAAAAGCCAATTTTTTTATTATGGTCTTTTGAACTTTTATGATTATACAATTTAATGTTTTAAAATATTATAAAAGCATAACTCATAAATGAAAAAAATACATTACAATAAACCCAGCAATTATATTTATCATTGTAGCCTAGACTAGTGAAACTTTATAATGGAAAGGCACTAGCTCAAGGATTGGCACTTGGGAACCTCCACTTCAGTCCCACCACTAATTATCATATAATGAATGAATCAGAGGCCCAGAAAAAGTACACTATTTACACAAGGTCACCCAGCTCATAAGAGTCAAAATGCAGACAGATCTGTATGCTCAGACCTCTGGACTTTCAGTTGAAAATTTTTGACATTCCTGAGTTAAAAATGTATGAAGACTGATTGAAATATTGAGTATTACATAGTATTTATATATTTTGCTTAGAAGATATATATGCCAAATATTATGATTTTAACATATGATTGAAAAAGACAAATAAATATCACCAACAAAAAGTTGTCACATACAAATGATTTTATAACAACCTCCGCTGAAGGTGGCTGAATTTTATGTTTGAAATTTCATGTTGCATGATCTAACTTAATGTGATAAAGAAGTTTTCAGAATAAGACTGTCAAAGAAAGCAGTGACACAAAAGCATGAGCTACACATTTTGTTCTGTTCAAAAAACTATTTCTGACATCATAATGAGTTCTGCAGGGAGATTATTAGACTTATCATCTTGTAATGATGAGAATTCGTTGCCATCGTTGTCCAGCAATGTCTTGAACTCAATGTCTCCAGCTCATATGACCATATGCCCATATTGAACTAACCTCATCATTGCAACAGTAGAAAAGAACAACCAAATATATTTGAACAAACCCTCCTCTTCCAAATTTCTCAAAAAATCTTGACTTCTTATTGGTTTGTTTTTAAAAATTTAAGTAATAACTTAAGCCTAAAAAATTGACAATTTCATGTTTTGGACTCATAAAAATAAAGTAATAAAGTATGATTATGATAAATAGTTGAAAATATTACATGTTGTCTTGACAGTTTATGATTTTCAAAATTTGAATTGTATGTGATTTGACAAAATGTATTATTTTGTTATCAAATACATGTTGTTGCTTGTAATGTCTTTTCCTCTGCATTCAACTTGAAAAATTATATGCCAGTAAGATAAATAAAGATCCTAGTGAAACAATCTCCTAAATCAAGGAAAGAGAGAGAAAGAAACAGACATATCTAGTTTGTCTTTTCTTTATTCTATTCAGCCTTTAAACAACAGATTTAATGTCTGAGTTTAACTGCAAAAAATAATAGTTCACAAGAAACCTCCAAACTTAAAAATCTTATATTTGACTTGGTATCCCTCTTGCTGATTTACTGGCACCCAAGAGTTGCATTAAATCAGAAGCTAACAGCCATTTTTTAGTAGATATGTCCTCAGTTCTATAAAATGGCTTTTCTTTTCCTTGCAGAGCAGGCTTAATAAATAAAACCCTCTTTCACACTGGAATTAGACCCAAACTTTATTTTACCTTCATACAAAACAATCTGGATACACCATTTCTGAAATAATGTTGAAAAAGATGGCATTATATTGTAGCACATTCCAGTTTGAAGCGAGTGAAGCTGTATCAAAAGAGGTTCTAAATCATTTTTATATCCCCATAAATATGCCTGAATTCAAATCCAAGAACAAATATTATGAAAAACAATGTATTTATTGAGGTACAACAGGAATTACAGCACAGGGTAAGGCAAAAAGAAAATAGCTGTCAAACAGCCCAGTTGTGATACGAGAGAAGGTTCTAAAATTATAGCCAGAAAACCTGAGTGTGAATGCCCACTTGATCTAGATTGAGTTGTTTAATAAGTTCTTCTCTGAAGAAATCAGAAAAGTAATACCTTTCTTATCAGATTTTGAGAACAATCAAAGAGATCACTAACCTAAATTGCAGTGCCTGGCACAGAGCTTGGCATTGTAATTACTCAAAAATGCTCATAAAGTTGAAGGATATGATTTGAGATAAGTCAGTGCCCCCTATTAAAATACACCATACCACACATAAAAACACGCATATAATGCACAATAAAAACCTGTAGAGCACTATTGTAGCACAGAAATCCTTAGTATTTGTTGTCACTCCTTGGAAAGTATGGTCTAAGTAGCTTTTAATCTTAACTGTGCTATGATACAGATTTTCAGAAGGGAGTAATATATACCTAATGTAGCAAGAGCTAATGTTAACATGATTTTTGCTTTGTAAGCCCTTAAGCAGAAAGGGACAGTGTGATGCTGAGATGTTGTGATTATTATTGTCCTTGTTTTAATGGAGGACCATGTTGATTGATGGCTAGCTGAAGAAAGACTACCACAATTTGTGGAAAGAGAAGCAAGCAGTAGCATATAAAATTATGGAAAATGTTATCTACAGATTCATAAGGTGTTGCTAAATACAAAAGTAGTAGGACCAAACAACTACTTACTGCACAGTTTGTCTTTGAGTTAATTATATAATGTATCAAATTAAATACACAGAAATTAAGTCAGAAAATATGTACAGAGGCCATGCTATTCTTTTATAAAACCACCTTATAAAAATCCTCTCTCAGTTGCACAAACTTTATTCTAGTGACTATTCATTATTTTTGTATATCAATGATGGCTTACTGTAATTAGTAAACCAGTTACAAACACAGCTGTGTTTTCCAAATGATCCATATTTCAGTATGATTTGTGTCTATCCCTTTGTTGTTGTTTTTATTTATTCGAAACTCTTTTAAATAGCAGATCTGTTGAGAATTTAATCAAAGGTATAAAACTCTTGGCAGGAAAAAATTCATAAAGAAGCAACATTTTGAACATGCTTTGAAGGTATTTGAAATAGGATTTCTTCTATTTTACTTGAGAGAAAAATGCAGGAAGTAAAAATGCAAGCAAGATGATAATGTATTAATAATTAAGAAGAAACCAATGGCTTTGATTACCAGATCACCTCAACCATGATGCATTTATGGGTGAATAAAACTATATACATCCCACATTCATGATGGTTAAGAGCAAGGAATCAGTTCCAGAAGAACTCACAATTAATCAAGTTAGTTTCCTCATCCATAAAACAAACATGATACCTGTTTAACTGGATTATTCTAAATATTAAATGAAAGTGTATATCCAAATCACATAATAAATTGGTTTGAAATTGGCATCTCATATTTTTATGCATAACATGAAAATACCTAGAATTTGAGAAATCTTGCTTTCCTTGATTTTCAAAATCAAGGCAACATCCCATGATAGGTTAATCAGCTACTACAACTCCTGGCCACTCAGCTCTTTTCCTCATGCTCAGCTCACCCCTGATATCCTTCTTTCTGGGTTTCTCCCATCTCCTCATCCACAGGAGCCATATCAACCACAGTTCATTCATTCACAATTAATGCCTTCCCAACCATGCAGCCTAACATTTTGTTAATCCTATAAACCAGTTCATGCAAATGGACCAAGAATAAAGATGCTGTTCCTTCCCTACCCCTCATCAGATCTCAGCCTCCTGATACTCCATGAGTATTTTTGGAGGTATATTCTATAAAATTGGCCCTTCATTACTTTCCCTCCTTAGTTCAATATAATTAGTATATATGAATCTATCTTTTGCTAAGTAATGTTAACTAGCCTTGGGGGAAGGCAGGTTCAACAGAGCAGGCAAAAAAGTAAAATGTAAAAATAAATATGGTAAAGACACTTTCCTTGATATGGTTAGTTAACTACAGTTGTTAAGACAGCAGACTAGGTAAGATGAAATTGGTATTCTGTAATAGATGAATGAAAGACGGGCTGGGCACAGTGGCTCACGCCTGGAATCCCAGCACTTTGGAGGGCGAAATGGGTGGATAACGAGGTCAAGAGATCGAGACCATCCTGGCCAGCATGGTGAAACCCCGTCTCTATTAAAAACAGAAAAATTAGCTGGGCATGGTGGCGATCACCTGTAATCCCAGCTACTAGGGAGGCTGAGGCAGGAGAATCACTTGAACCCGGGAGGCAGAGGTTGCAGTGAGCAGAGATCACGCCACTGCACTCCAGCCTGGCCAACTGAGCGAGACCATCAAAAAAAAAAAAAAAGATATACTTTTAGGAAAACGACAAGTCTAATAGTTCAAAACAAAACATTTTGCCACTCTGATTTGTCAATAATAGATAGTAGCTAAATAATTAGTAGTAGAAAAAGTTACAAGGAATTTTAATTAAAGTGGAAGATCACATATTTAGAAACAAGAAAATTTATGAGAAAATTTGCAATTAGCTCAAACAAGACTATACCGCTAAAATATCTATCCACATTTTTCTAATAAATAATTATTTTACTTTACAATCTTCCAAAAATATAAACATTATTTGTTTATAAACACACACTAGTTTTCCATTAATTTATATTAAATGTGAAGTGTGTGATCAGTGAATTTTTTTGAAGTCTCATAGAAGGTTACTTTTCAAAGAAATTGAAGATTTTGTTAAGACTTAAAATACTGAGGTGATAGATTTACTGCTGACTGGATCTGGGTTATTTCTTCAGTGAGACATGTTTCAAACAGCTGACACTGTTGAGTAAGCAAAAAGAGATGCTTGACTTTAAGCAACATGAATAATACTGTTCATCAACAAATGTGCAAGATACTTGAAAGTGCATAATCACATTCTTTCTCATAAGCTGTCAGCTTGATTCTGTCCCCCAGAGGATAACAAGTCTTTATAAATCTACCATGGCTATGTGACAAGGGAAAACGTTCATCCAAGACACAAGCACAAATTCTCCTTGCCATGGACCTCTGCACCCAAACTAGCAGCAGCAGAAGTAATTGAGGGCCACTTTTCTCATAAACAGAGAATTCTCTGATGCCATTTCCAGAGCTACTTATTTAGGAAACAGAGTATATACCTCTCAACAACTCTATCTAGAAACCAGAGTTTTTACCAGGTTCAAACCAAACAAAAATAAGTCAACCCTGTGTGACCTTCTGCAGGCAGAGGCTCCATGCTGATTGTTGGATGGCATTTGACAAGTTTCACTGCTTTGTACTTAAAAATACAAGCATAAGCGAACGTTGAACTTAATATGATTATTTTTGTTTCAGTTGATATTTTAAAATAACACCATTTCAATTTTATCCACAGTTCTTCTAGAAAGTAATCACACCTATATCACAGTGTAATTTTGAGGAGTAAATGAGTTTACAAACACAAATCACTTACTGGATGCACTAAATAAATATTAATGACTACAGAATTACAGCCTATTACATATTGCAGTGTGAGGTTATACAATAGGCTTAATTTTTTCATGTAGTAACATAGGGAATACCTATTGGATTAAGAAAGTCATATAGAAATAAACACAAAGAAAAACAAAGTATTATTGGAAAAGTACAGCGAAGTATTTATCTTTGTTTCTAATATCAACTGTACAAAAATAGATATGTTAGTATTCAGCATTTTTCTGAAGACAAAAGGGAAGAGCAAATATTAAATAATGTGATCAAGCAAAATTCATTATGTGATTTTTTTAAATTATTTTTAAAACTTCATCAAAATAGTGTAAGTTTTTAGTATAAACCTGTATAAATTATGTACTGACATTCATTTCTTTTAAATAAATAAATTTTTTTATTTAATTGCCTACTAAACTTGGGAAAGTCTTTTAAATTATGAAATAACTATTAACTCCTTTAAAACTTTTTTTTTTTTTTTTTTGAGACGGAGTCTGGCTCTGTCGCCCAGGCTGCAGTTCAGTGGCGCGATATTGGCTCACTGCAAGCTCCGCCTTCCGGGTTCACGCCATTCTCCTGCCTCAGACTCCCGAGTAGCTGGGACTACACATGCCCGCCACTGCGCCCACCTAATTTTTTGTATTTTTAGTAGAGACAGGGTTTCACCGTGGTCTCGATTTCGTGATCTCCTGATCCGCCCGCCTCGGCCTCCCAAAGTGCTGAGATTACAGGCGTTAGCCACCGCGCCCGGCCTATTCCTTTAAAACTTATAATGCAGTTTATGGCTCTACTTCGCTAAAAAAATTAACAAGCATCTTTTGAATTCTATTGTAAAGACAAATCAATCATTAATTTAAAGTGAAAATGTGCCTTTCTGAGAATTTTTTGTCTGGAGAAAATTTTGATGAAATATTTACTGTTATCGGTTATAAATGAGAAGAAGAGTGTGAACATTCTTCAGAAACGAAAGCCCACATCCTTAACTAGGAAACTGCTGGCTCCCACATTGGTGATTTTTTTTTTAAGGTTGTAAATTGAGATGAAAATTACAAACATGACTAACCAAAATAGTAGAAAAAAATTTCCTTTTTCAGGGATATTAACATCAAGTCTGTCTTCACTGATTGAACGCTCTTGATATTTAAGCTCTCAGAATGTTATATTTTACAATGCCACTTCAAGAATAACTTAAAAGAGCCAAAGATTACGTGAGATTTAATGTAAAGTCAACATAAAGACATGGTTAGGGCTTAATTTACAAAGACAATTTGTGTAAAATCTTTTCTTCCACATTTTGTTTTGTTTTGTTTTTGTTCTATTTCCTTTAAAAATGTTTCAGTAATGTTGGAGTCTGACAATTTTATTTTTTTTTTTATTTTATTTATTTATTTTTTTCAGACGAAGTCTTGCTCTGTCGCCAGGCTGGAGTGCAGCCGTGCGATCAAGGCTCACGGCAACCTCCGCCTCCCGGATTCAATCGATTCTCCTGCCTCAGCCTCCTGAGTAGCTGGGACTGCAGGCGCCCGCCACCACGCCCAGTTAATTTTTGTATTTTTAGTAGAAATGGGGTTTCACCTTGTTGGCCAGGATGGTTTCGATCTGTTGACCTCGTGATCCGCCCACCTCAGCCTCCTAAAGTGCTGGGATTACAGGCGTGAGCCACGGCCCATGGCTTTTTTTTTTTTTTTTTTTTTTTTTTTTTTCGAGATTTAATCTTGTTCTGTCGCCCAGGCTGGAGTGCAGTGGTGCCATCTTGCGGCTCACTGAAACCTCTGCCTCCTGGGTTCAAGAACGCTATTTTACCTCAACCTCCTGAGTAGCTGGGATTACAGGCGCATGCCACCACACCCAGATAATTTTTGTATTTTTAGTAGAGACAGGGTTTTACCATGTTGACCAGGCTGGCCTCCACCTCCTGGCCTCAAGTGATCCGCCCGCCTTGGCCTCCCAAAGTGCTGGGATTACAGGTGTGAGCAATGGCGCCCAGCCAGACAAATGCATTTAGATAAAAATTCAGTAAGTGAACAGTGTCATCAAATTCTTCCCCTTTACATTGCATGTAACTCTGTTAATTTGACTTAAAGCCATGGAAACTTGAACTAACATAAAAACTGAGCGGTAACTGAGCTTTAACTTGTAAGATAAAATTTGTGATGTTCTACAAGCTCTGCTATAACCCCTTCTGAAATTGTGCTAAGAAACTTAGCTCTAACATGCAGAAAAAAATGTTTGGTATAAATATAATTCTGTGTACAATTACCTACAGACTTAGGGATGGTGCTGTAAAATTTAAACATAATAAATAATTTAATAATAAATCATAATTTTTTAATTTTTAAAGTTATGAATTTTTCATTTGCATTCTGGGACAGGAAGGTTGATGCAATTTTTTTCACAAAACACACCCACCCACTGTATTTTTGCCATAATGAAGAATAATGCTCACACCGATAGATAAAATTATGCTTATCTGTAATAACATGATTGATTGATTAGATAATTAAGCCATGTATGCTACAAAATCTTTCATAATATGCTTTTTATATCTTGTTTATTGTTACAACATGTTTTCCTGCATCCAAAAAGTATTTTCAGACAAAAAAATTGTATTTGCAATAGGGATATGTTCTGAGCCTATGTAATAGAAACATTCAACCTTGCTAAGAGTTTGTAATGTAATCAAGGTTGGAGTATTTTGAGGAGCATTGAAGAAACATGCAGTGGTGGGGGATGAGGCAGGAGGGAGCTACAGTTAAAAAGTGGATGGCCTTGTATCTTTTGATTGAATGGATTGTAATTTGGTTTATATTTTGCTGTTGCTGCATTGCATTTCATATATTACCAAAAGGAAAGATCCGTATTTCAAATTAATGTTCAAAAATAATAATGAGCACATTACATGAAAAAATAGATCTGATTTGAGAATATCTAATGTTTTGCAATACCAGCACTTGTAATTTTTTTCATTTATACAAATAATGAGAATTCCATACCACATATACATACTAATCTAAAAAGTTAGGAAACTATATAGAATATGCGTGATGAAGTGTACTTTACACAAAGTAAGTTCAAACAATATATTTGATTTAATACTTGCTTTCTTATATTTCATTTTTGGATAAAAATTCAAATACTTATGCAGCTGTTTTTTATTATGCAAGGCAACTGTATATAAAAAATATTAATCACTTTGGGAGGCTGAAGCGGGTGGATCACGAGGTCAAGAGATCGAGATCATCCTGGCCAACATGTAAAACCCCCTTTCTACTAAAAATACAAAAAATAGCTGAGCATGGTGGCGCGCGCCTTTAGTCCCAGCTACTCATGAGACTGACGCAGGAGAATTGCTTGAACCCAGGAGATGGAGGTTGCAGTGAGCCTAGATCACGCCACTGCACTCCAGCCTGGCGACAGAGCAAGACTCTGTCTCAAACAAAAAACAAAAAACAAAAAAAAAATCACTCATCAAAATAGTGAAAGGTATATTTTATCAACTATCAATTTATATTTTTCAATATTGACACCTATTATAATTAGTTGGTATTCAATGATAAGGGCTTTTGTGTTAGTAAACATTATCAGTAAAACAGATTTACACAGGTAAATGATTATAATAGGAACAGTTATATCTCTACATTTGAACTACAACAAAATTCTAGTAACACCTCTAAAAGTTGGCATAATGTCAATGCAACTTTGCTGGTCCTATGTCTTATGACATTTAAAAACTGTACCAAGCCAGGTACAGTGGCTCAAACCTGTAATCCCAACACTTTAAGAGGCAGAGGCGGGCGGATCACGAGGCCAGGAGATGGAGACCACCCTGGCTAACATGGTGAAACCCCGTCTCTACTAAAATTACAAAACATTAGCCGGGCGTGGTGGTGGGCGCCTGTAGTCCCAACTACTTGGGAGACTGAGGCAGGAGAACTGCCTGAACCGGGAGGCGGAGCTTGTAGTGAGCCGAGATTGTGCCACTGCACTCCAGCCTGGGCAACAGAGCGAGACTCCACCTCAAAAAAAAAAAAAGTGCACCAATAAGAAAATGTTTAATTCATTTGAGAAAACAATAGGTTAAATAATATTCCTTAAAAGAATAATTTTAGGGCTGGGAGGATAAGATGGCTGATTACATGCAACCATCTCATGCAGCGGGGTCGTAGCCTAGCTACCAGCCATTACACTAAAGTATCATCTACTAGGTCGTATCCCAAACTACAACACCAAAAATTATCTTGCTAATATGCACACCTGTGAAACTACGCACAAGAATTCACTGGCACATAAAGATCTTGTACAGAGCACTAGCCCTCTGAAAGTATCCAGAAACATAGCCAACTAACTATACTCAACATACACCACAGGTAAAGAAACACCAATTCTTCCAGATGAGGAAGAATCAGCAGAATAATTCTGGAAATTGAAGTGAGAGTGTCTGCTTATCTCTAAACATGTCCACTAGATCCCCAGCAATGGAACTTAACTAGTTTGACATAATTAAAATGATAGACACCAAATTCAAAATCTGGATGCTAAGGAAACTCATCGAGATTCAGGAAAACATTCAAACCCCATCCAAGGGATCCAAAGAATCCAGTAAAATGATCCAAGAGCTGAATGATGTAATAACCATTTTTTTGAAAAGAACCATACTGAACTTTTCACTGCAAGAATTTAATAACATAATCAGAAGAATTAACAGTAGAATTGACCAAACCAAGGAAAGACTCTCAGAGCTTGAAGACTGGTTTTTGGAATTAACTCAGTCAGACAACAATTTTTAAAGGATGTAAAAAGTTAAACAAAATCTCCAAGCAATATGGGATTATACAAAGAGAACAAATCTATGACCCATTGGCATTCCTGAGAGTGAAGGGGAGAGAATAAGCAGCTTGAATATATATTTGAAGATATAGTCCACAAAAATCTCTCTAATTTCCCTAGAGGTTGACATGTAAATCCAACAAATACAGAGAAGCTCAGCTAGATACTACACAGGATGAAAATTCCCAGGGCACATAGTCATCAGATTCACCAAGTTCATCACAAAAGAAAAAGTTCTTAAAGGAAGCTAGAGAGAAGGGTCAAATCATGTACAAAGTCATGTACAGAAACCCATGAGGCTAGTAGTAGACATTTCACCAAAAACTTTACAAGCCAGAAGAGACTGACACCTATTTTTAGCATTAGTTTTTTGTTTTTTGTTTTTCTGAGATGGAGTTTAGCTCTGTCGCCCAGGCTAGAGTGCAGTGGTGCGATCTTGGCTCACTGCAACCTCTGCTTCTCAGGTTCAAGTGATTCTTCTGCCTCAGCCTCCTGAGCAGCTGGGATTACAGGCACGTGCCACCACACCTAGCTAATTTTTGTATTTTGAGTAGAGACAGGTTTTCACACATTGGCCAGGCTGGTCTTGAACTCCTGACCTCAGGTGATCAGCCTGCCTCATCCTCCTAAAGTTGGGATTACAGGCATGAGCCACTGCACCCAGCCTATTTCCAGCATTCTTAAAGAAAAGAAAATACAACCAAGAATTTTATTTCCCACCAAACTAACTTCATAGGTGCAGAAGAAATAAAACCTTTGTTAGATAAGCAATTGCTAAGGGAATTTATTTCAACTAGAACAGCCTTACAAGAGGTCCTTAAGGGAGTACTAAGCATGGAACTAAAAGAATGACACTGGCTACCACACTCGCGACAGATCCTGGAAAGGCTGTAAAGAAAAGAGAACTCTTATTCGTGTTGGTTAGAATGTAAATTATGTTCAGCCACAGTGGCAAGAAGTTTGGAGAGTTCTCAACGAACTTAAAACAGCTACCATTCAATCCAGCAATTGCACTACTGTGTATATACCCAAAGGAAAATAGATCTTTATACCAAAAGACACATGCACTTGTATGTTCATTGCAACACTAGGCACAATGGCAAAGACATGGAATCAGCCTAGGTGCCCATTAATGAAAGATCGGATAAAAAAAAAATGTGGTACATATACACCATGGAATACTATGCAGCCATAAAAAAGGAATAAAATCACGTCTTCTGCAGCAATGCGAATGGAACTGAAGGTCATAATCTTAAGCAAATTAAATCAGGAACAACAACAACAACAAAAAACAAATACCACATGTTCTCGCTTATAAATGAGAGCTAAAATTGAGCACACATGGACATAAATAAGGGAACAAAAGACATGGAAGACCACTGGAAGAGGGAGGGAAGGAGAGGGAGGATGGGTTGAAAAACCACTGGGTACAATATCACTACCTGGGTACAATATACCCATATAACAAACTTGCACATGTACCCCCATATATAAACAAAAGTTGAGTTTCTTAAAGAGTGATTTTAAAACACAGAAGATGCTAAATTTCTAAATAATTCAGTGTAATTCTAGATGATCCTTAAGAGAAATTATGACAACAATTTTGACATTTCTATAATATTTTAACAGAAATTTATTACAGAAATGTTTTAGCAGAAATTTATAAATTAATAATTTATAAGAGAAAGTATAAGTTTTACCTTTTAAATCACTTCAGGAATGTTTGGTGTGTGTTCTTCTTACATATTGCTGTGGTTGAGTCCTGCATAAAAATAAAACAAAAATATAAAACATATTCAACACATAAAAATCTATGCATAATTAAAACATATTTATTATGTCATACATTAAACAAAGCTGAGTTTGGAGAGCAAATACATTTTTGAAGAGATAAATTTTTGAGAAGTTTGAACTGCGAGTTTTTTTTTTCCTTTTTAGGGCATGACATTTTGAAACTATGTCCAGTTAGAATTTTAGCTCCGTCACGTGTTAGCCATGTAGATATGGGCAATTTAGTCTTGTTCTTTGACCTTGGTATGTCACGACATAAAGAAGTTTTAATTTCAGTGTTACAATTTATTTAAACACTTAGTATTATGCCTTAAACATGGTCAAAATTTAAATATAAACTATTTTAGTGATTTTATATAATATTAAATGTTTATGTTATTTTAATAACTTTAATGTTTTATGATTTTAATAACTACTGCACTTTCAAACAAAGAGAATATGAAAGATCAGAATAGAAATCCAAGAAACAAGGTTCAGTATAACCTAAAGTATAATATGATTAACAAGGGAGTATTATAAATCAATAAAAAATATATATTGTTCTAGAATTGTGACTATTAGATATTTCAATAAATTAAAATTTGAATATAATCCCTAATGTATACATTACGTGCATTATACCAAATAATATATATGTTGTATGTATACACAACATAATGCTCATTGGATCGAAGTGTTAACATTGGAAAGTCAATATTAAAAGAAGAAAACTAAGAGGTAAAAATGTGTTCTCAGAAGATAATAATCCCTTTCAGAACCCAAAAGCAGGAGCATAAGAATTATGCTTATTCTCTGACCTTCTTAGCCCAAATCAGCTTACTATGTCCTTAGTTGACAATGTGATTTGATATACGATTTCTATTTCCTAAAACTGATAAAAATTACACTTACAGAGGTCAAACAGATGCCTCAAATACTTTAGGAGTATGTCAGTCATTCAGCAATTATTTATTGAGTATCTACTATGTGCCAAACATTATTATTTATACTAGGAATAAAACACATAACAAAAGAGACAAAAGACACTGCCCTCATGGTACTTTTATTTTGGGAATGCTGGGAGGGGTGGACGAGAGAAAAGTATACATCCAAATAGGCAAATACATATTGTATATCAGGTTATCCTAAATGCTATAAAGACAGAAGAAGATGTGTCAATGTTCATCAAAGTAGAAATGTCTGATACCAGATAGATGACTGGTATCTAAGAGAAAAAAATCTGGAGTTGAAGAGAGTCTGAAGTGTCTGGAAGGGGTTAGCTAGGAATGAAATTTAAGGACTGAGTCCTTTAAAGTCAGGGAAATGAGAAATAGCAATCACTAGGATGAGGAAAGTAGGAAATGGGCTGTGATGTTCTGGAAGTACTAAGAGAAAAACGAGATTTGTAGTAGCTTGGTGGTATCTATCTATCTATCTATCTATCTATCTAATCTATCTATATCTATATCTATATCTATCTATCTATCTATCTATCATCATCATCCTCTATCTACTTATCAGGGCAAAACTTTCAGATTCTATTAGAACACATAGTACTCATAAGCTTCAGGGTTACTAGAACACCTCCATGGACCTTTTCCAAAATGACCTTCTTAAAACTAAGAGGTAAATAATATCTGATGTAACTGATTTCCAAGTTTAATTCCAGGAACTAGTGATGATACAGTGTTCAGGTGGGCTGTCATTAGGAACTGGTGTTAATCATAACTAATGCAGAATATGTATACTGCAACCCATGCTTACATGATTTGGGGTGAGAAGCAGCAAAGATTTCCAATAAATAATTTTAAAAATTGAGTTATTAGAATATTCTACTCTATGGAAAATCATGTGTAAGCATGTGGGGACCTATTTATACATAGCTCACATTTTCTGCTAAGGTTAATATAGGCTCTTTGGAAATAAGGCAAAAAGCATATGGCTGATCATTTTATCTTGGCTCTATTGCTCTATTGCTATCACAGGATAAGCAGCACCCTGTGCAGTTCATAGAGCCCAATGCACAGCTCTGACTCTAAGTGTGATACAGTCTCCATATATAACTGCTTAATATCTGACAAAAGAAAATTAAGTTGTAATAGTTCTTAGCATATTGATAAAAATTCTGTCAATTAGGAAATGTCACCAATAAACAATTCAATTTCCTGCATTGTACACATTTATTTAAATGCGATGAAACAATCCATTCAAATACTTTTGAAAAAGAATTTATAATATTTACTTCTACTAAGAAACATATTTCACTTCACTCGAAATCACACTATCTTGTCTCCTTTATCAATCTGTGTGTGCCTAATGTTTTAAAATGCAACAATTATTTTACAGAAAATTTCAGCAGTATTCATTTTCATGTCTGAGCTCTTGAAATGATAATAAAGTACACTCTTAACTGGAGAAGGAATGTGTTAAAATATACACGTAGTTGTACAAAATGTATTCTCATTTATTATATAGGTCAGTACTTCAAAATTTTCTGTTATTTTGCAGAGCTCTTCATTTCAATTCATTCTCCAATTTATAGGTTTATAATATAATCACAATAACTAAAGTCCCTACAGGTTGTCCATAAATAACAACAGCAAAACCTAATATTATGTGGCAGCATAATAACATAATATTAGAATCTTTTGTTGTAAGTTTCTAATTGCATTTTTATAGAACCAGGCCAAATAAAAATAAGAATTCAAGTTTTTATTTTTAAAAATCAGAAGCTCTCTGTAAGAGTGTCAATAAGAAAAAAAATATGTAGAAAATGTCTGTTGAAGTAAGCTTTTCTCCTGAAGTCATGTCCTCCTCCAAGGAAAACTCATATCCAGTAACTATTTCTTCATCCAATATTTACTCATGTAATTTGCTAACCATCTTTACTATACTTGGTTTTATTCAGCATTCCAATAACTGAATTTAAACAGCAGAAAGGGCAATCCTCCATGTGAAAAGTTGTGTTTGTAATGTTAAACTGCACATAAATTTGGATATTTTAATGCTGTTTAACCTTAAATAAGTATTTCTAACATGATATTGGATCAGCAACAAGCCACCTATTAATTCATGAACAAATTAACTATCACATATGTGGTTATAATGACTTCTAATTTTTATTTATTTGTATTTAATTTTAATTATTTTTCAATTCAATGCCCAATTCTTACAACATGGATGGTTTTGATTATCATTACTTTCATACTTACATGTTCAGTATCATTAAATCAGAAACCGAGAGTCCTAACATACCCTAATACTACAGGAATGGTGAAGAGGTGGCAATTGCTTGGTTTTGCATCCAAAGAACTCAGAGAAAGCTGGTATGAGTAATCAAAAAGTGAACTCCAGGTGTATTGACCCTGAGATTCATATGAGGTCAAACCCTAGTTAAAACCTTGATTTTTGCTAGTGAAGCCCCTGAGCAGAGAACCTAGGTAAGCCGTGTCCAAACTCCTGACCCAAGGAAACCTTGAGATACTTTATCACCCACAACAGAAAACAAATACAGTGTTTGGGACTTGAAAATGGTGTGCTGCTGCAACAAACGCCTAAAAATAGTGTGACTGGCTTTGAAACCAGAAAGTCAGTAGAAGCTGGAAGGATTTGAAGAAGCACAAGAGTGAAAGTCTAAATCCCCCTCAACCAATTGTTAGAAAACTGGATTTTGAAGATGCTCAGGCCCTCAGCCCTCTGAGGGAGGGCTCAGAGGAAAGTGAGGAATGTTACTGAAAACTAGAAGAGAGATGGCACTGTGCTATGCAGTAAAAGAATATTAGCAAAACCATGTACTGTCGTTATGCACCAATCAGAGCTTTTAAATGATGAAATTGGATATATAGCTGATCTTTGAACAACATAGGTTTGAACTACATGGTTCCATTTTTATGTGGACTTTCTCCCACCTCCGCCACCCCTGAGGCCCCAAGACCAACTCTTCCTTTTCCTCCTCCTACTCAGACTACTTAATGTGAAGAAAATAAGGATGAAGGCCTTTATGACGATCTACTTCCACTTCATGAATAGTAGATTTATTTTCTCTTTCTTATGACTTTCTTATTTACATTTTTCTCTAGATTACTTTAGAATACAGTATTTAATACATAGAACATACAAAATATGTGTTAACTGACTGTATATGTTATCTGTAAGGCTGCTGGTCAACAGTAACCCATTAGCAGTTAAGTTTTGAGAAGTCAAAAGCCATTTGTGGATGTTCAGCTGCACAGAGGATTAGTCCCCCTAGCCCCTGTGTTGTTCAAGAGTCAACTGTATAGCTAAATGCCACAGATGCTGCCTGGATTCTTCTTGTAGTTTATAGTAAAATGTGAGAGAAGAGAGATAGGTTGAGGAAAGGGTAGACATGAATAGAAGTAGATGATTTTTAAAATAATTGGCCTTTCCAAGTGGCAAGAGATGCCTACCAAAAATGGCTGCTGAAAGTATGTCTTACAAACAAAAAAAAAATTGAGGTGCGACTGCACAACCTTTAGTTAAAATCTTAGAAAGTTCAAAACGTCAAGAAGACTTAATTCACACTAAGTTCCTTTCCATAAATTAAAGGTATGCCTTACAGATTTTCTCAACCAAGAGCCATAGCCTTTAGATAAGCCGTAAAATCCAATCAAGAAAATCCAACATTTCAGAAGTGTAAGGTACTAGTTATTGCTGTCCCCAACACTTCTGAAATGCTGGATTTTCTTGATTGGGTGTTAGGGACTAGTTATTGCTGCTCATCTTCCATTTTCCTATTTTTGAAACAATGTTGATAAATGTTGTCCTATCCTTGTCCCACCATTATAAATTGGGAGAGTTGGGGGGCAATAACTTGTCTCTTAAGTTGTGCAACTTCACAGTAGAGAATTGTGCTCCAGGGGCTCTACTTACGGAATTACACTGAGGCCTCTTATATATGCTTGGATTTGATTTATAAGTTATACTGACTTGATGATATTTTGATGAGATTCTGGATTTTGAGCTGATGGTGTAATGGGATGAGAATCTGAGGAACCCTGAAAGGGGGTGGACATATTTTGCATTTCAGAAAGACTTAAACAGTTCTGTATTAGAGAGTGGTAGATTCCCACCTCCTATTGTACAGGTACTGTGTAATCATTTTACCTTGAGTGTGGGTAGGATCTAAGAATATGATGGGATAGTCAGCCTGTTAGTATGATGGTACATTATGTTATGTTACATTATAAGACTCCACCATAGCAGGCTGATTCTCCTGCTGACTTGGCAGAAGTAAGATACTATTTTGGTTAGGTCCTAAGGGCTACTTCTGGAAGCTGAAACTGACATCTGGCTAATAGCCAGCAGAAGATGGGAAAACTAGTTCTACAACTGCAAGGAACCAAATTCTTCCAATGAATTAAATAAGCTTGGAGAAGACCTTGAGCCTCAGGTGGGATCATAGTCCTGACCAATACATGGTTTAGCCTTGTGATAGCCAGGTAACTCAGGCCTACAGGCCTGATTTACAAAAACTATGAAATAATTGGATGCTGTTTTAACCCAGTACATTTGTGATAATTTGTCATGTGGCAATAGACCAATAATTCATCAACCTTCATAATAACATTAGGAATCCATAAATTCCTAATTTAACATTTTGCTTAGTTAAATATAAATGCATTGTTTCAGTAGTCCCCAAAGAGTCTTTCATTCCATATTATCATTTTGAGAATGTTAGCAATTGTGAAAACTTTAAAAAATATTATGCCATATATTCTTAAATTGTACTTAACAAAAACCTGGAAAATAAATTTTTAGAAAAAACAAAATAAGGAGTTTGAAAAATAGAGCACTTACAAATTATAAATAAGATTATTTATGAAATGCTTTTATAGCCTATTTGTATGAGTAATTATTTATCCTTTATTTAAATACTTGAAATGTAGAAATTAACAATAAGTGTTTTGTAAATAAGAATTGCTAGAGGTCGGGCGTGGTGGCTCACGCCTCTAATCCCAGCACTTTGGGAGGCTGAGGCGGGCAGATCACGAGGTCAGGAGATCAGTACCATCCTGGCTAAAACGGTGAAACCCCATCTCTACTAAAAATACAAAAAAATTAGCCAGGCGTGGTGGCGGGTGCCTGTAGTCCCAGCTACTTGGGAGGAGAATGGCGTGAACCCGGGAGGCAGAGTTTGCAGTGAGCTGAGATGGAGCCACTGCATTCCAGCCTGGGCGACAGAGCGAGACTCCGTTTAAAAAAAAAAAATGATAGAGAAAAATAGTTATATTCTGTGTGGTGTGGTTTTGTACTTTCAACCTAAAATGATAATTCAGATTGTACTGACTGAATAGCATTGGAAAATCATCAGCAATACAACTCCACTATGTAATATAATTAGAATGCAATGAATAAATAATCCATCGCTCCTTGGAATGTAGAAATTAACAATAACTGCTTTGTAAATAAGGATTGCCAGAGAAAAATAGTTACATTCTGTGTGGTGTGGCTTTGTACTTTCAACCTAAAAATGATAATTCAGATTGTATTGACTGAATAGCATTGGAATGTCATCAGCAATACAACTCCACTATATAATATAATTAGGATGCAATAAATAAATAATACTTTGTTCCTTGATACAAGGTGCTGCTTGTTAGTGTAGGGGTCATTTGTAAGCCAATTTTGTTATAACACTTAAACAGCATTGTTGTTAAATTGTGATAAATGGGAAACCATAAATTGGGAGAGAATTTTAATGGTCATTATCTTCATTAGCTAATGAGATGTGCTAATTATGTTTGTAAGTGACAATAATTTAGTAGCCCTGGCTTAAAGGGCTCACGGAGCAATAACTAGGTCAGTCCTCTTCAATATGTTTTCACAATGTTGGAAGGGACTTGATAATGAGAACCTAAACTTGATAGTAATGTTTTCTATAAAATTATTCATTAAAATGTCTCCTTAAATTATGTCAGGTTTTATGTTGTTCTTCCATAATACATATGCATAAATTCTAAGGTACTGAGAGTGTGGGATCAAAAATTAAATTAAGGTAGTGGTATTTGAAATGTGGCACCTAGCCCCATGGGGATCCCTGAGAGACTGTCAGGGGTGTTCGAGGCTGAAACTATTTTTGTAATAATCAAATGATGTATTTTCTGTTTTCACTGTGTTGACAGTGACAGTGATGCTAAAAAGAAATGCTGGTGGGTAAAAATACCAATGCCTTTGATTTAGCCATTCAGTAATGTCTACATATATCAGTTATCATGTTGTACGCTAGAAATATATACAATCGTATTTGTAAATTAAAAATCGATCAGTTAAGTAATTAATTGATTTGAGAAACACTGGTGCCTTTGCATACATCAAGGAAGTGGCTCTAAACCATATTAAGACTCATTATATTCTTCAACACTTAACACAAGCAGGAAAGAAAGAAGGGAGGAAGAAGAGAGAAAGAGAAAAAGAAAAGAAGGAAGAATGGGGGAAAGAAGGGAAGGGAAGGGAAGGGAGGGAAGGGGAGGGGAGGGAGGGGAGGGAAGGGGAAGAAGGGACAGGGATGGGGGGACAGAGGGATGAAGAGAGGGAAAAAGAGGTCAATTTCTCCTTGATAAAAAAAAATACACACACACAATTATGTACCCTCGAGCATGCATTGTTTTTTGTATTCATTGTGCAGAAATCAGAACTACGCATGAAGCTCTAATACTGTGTTATGAAGCCAAGTACATGTGTGGCACTTTGAGTTGTGAGCTGTGAGCTACACTAGCTGTTCTCTCATGGAACATTTTTACCTAGTTTTTATTTGCGTAGTGTCAGAAAAAAAAATGTGATTGCTTAAAGTTGGGTATTGGATAGATATTTTTTTGACTGTGAAAAGAGACCCTGCCTCTTCAAAGAAACTACTCGTTAGCATTTGTTGCCAGTGATGAAGTTCAATATTTCAAACAAATATAAAATTTTGGAAAGCTTGCATTTGTCTCATGGATTTGACAGTACTGTAACCCTTAAATAATTTCCTGATGAGATTATTGATATTAGCAATTGTGATTTTTAAAATAATGTGTGTCCATGTTGAAAGATACATACATCTTTGTGAACAACTTTTTAAAAAATGATTGATGCATGGGTAAAAAAATGTTACAAATAATATATGGTTAACAAATGTTCTCACAGTGTAAGATTGAACAATGGATTTTAATTAACAAAATATAAAAGTTTAATAAGGTAGCTTTAGGTTCCATTTGGCAATTAAACTTTATAAAACCTACCAATTGTTGAGTTCAGGTGTACTATTTTAAAAACTCACAACTATCTGAAAAAGGATTTTAAAATGCCTCCCTTTTCAACTACATGTATGAATAAAGTTAGATTTTTTTAAGGTGTGAGCTCTTTCATTGTTTACTACTAGCTAAGGAAAAGGTTATGGTATTTTAAATCTTATTTACCTAAATATAAAAATACAAATACATAACAGTATGTAGAATAAATTGCATATCTATTCTACTCATACATAGTCATTAAAATGTATTTCTTTTTCAATCTAAATATTTATTTTGTAAAAGGAATTAATAACAATGTAAACGTGCCTCAAATGCAATCAATTCAAATTATACTTTATAAGAACCTCATTATTATTTTAATACATATGGATAATTTTTCTGAGTTATTTACCTAGTTAGTGCTAACTACAGATATAATAATGCTTCAGTTTAAATGCTACAACCAGACCATGAATACTCTATGAAACAGCGAATTTTGCCAGTGAAGATACTGATGTTCTTGACCAAGTTACTAGTTTGCATATTGAGTTCTCCAAAGAATCTTAATCAAAAAATGCTTTAAAATTATCCCAAGGCATAAAAATGTAAATATTAGCATAATTATTACACAATTACTTCAGCAAATCATTACAAGTTGTGAATGATAGCCCAAAGTCAGATATGAATTAAATATGAAAATATTTAATTTAATAGCGTGTACACATAAATATATAATATATACATGTAATATCAAATTTTTCACCATCCTGTATCATACTAATTCTGAAGCACCATTTTAATCTTCAGAAGATCACGTAAAATGCAATTGGAAATATGGCTGTTGTAGATATCTACATACATAAAGACCCAGAAACCACCACAACAAAACCCCACAAAGCGGAAAAATCTTGTTAGGTATCTAAAGTTTTCTATATGATCCAGTTCATTATTAACAATCAACTATTTTTAAAAAGTCACACATAATAAAATAAGTCCAATATTTTACATTTCAAAATCTTGGTTTTGAAAAATATGTGGCTTTAGAGTGACATAAAATTAGTGCTTCTTTGACAGACTGGGTACATTTTTATGCCCAGCAGGAAAGTGAGCTAAGATATTCATCAAGCACAGTCTAAATTCTCCATTTTACTGGTTGACAAATCTATTGTGGTGACTAGTTTCCCAAGAATGATTTTCTGGCAATAAGAACAAAGATTTAAGGAAAAGAAAAATGATCTCAGGATACAAATTGATAATGATACGAGAGACGAGTGAGATAACCTGAAGATATCTAAATAAACTCAATTCAATCTCAGACGAATGTCACCATTATCTCAATTTTGCCTGAGAAAACACACATCAGTTATTCATATTAGATTATAGTTAATGAGCAACTTTCAAACTACATTTATTTTATATTTCCTCCCTAATATTTATGTCCTTTTCTTTAACTACACTTTCTGTTAGAGTTGATACTTCTCTGAAAAGACAAACTTTTTTTTCCTGGTTATTATAAAGAAAAATAGTGTTTCATTAATACAAAAATATTCCTAAAAGTCAAGAGAAAAAGTCCAAAAAAAATTTAATAAACTCCTTTTTCCTCTATGAATGCCAAGAGTGTTTTGTTATTTGTGAAAAAATATGTAGCAAAACTCCTTTGGAATAAATGTACAGTTTTGTAATTATCTGGATGTATACTATTTCTGCTTGACAAAAGAAACATTCAAAATAAAAGTTCCAGTTTATTTCTGAATGCCCAGGAATATAAGGCTCAGGGGCAATGTAAAAGATTATCGTAAGCTAAGAACATGGACTTAGACCAAGACTGAAGGAGTATCAAAATAAAAAAAAAATTACATTTATTTTCAAATAAGTGGAAAACTGGGTGTACCATTCTGATATACTTATGCATAAAAATTAAAATAAAAAATATAAATATTTTATGCCTGTACCATGCTAGATTTTTACATTGCTAGAGCAATGAGCACTCTTTCTTGAACACCACTGTTATTGGTGATAAAAGACAAGATGTGAAGATTAATTTTATGTGCCAACTTGACTGGACTATGAGATGCTCTGAAAACTGGGAAAGCATTATTTCTGGGTGTGTCAGTGGATGTGTTTCTGAAAAAGATTAGCTTTTGAATTGGTAGCTAGTAAAGATGACTGACCTCACAAATGTGGGTGGACATCACCAAATCTACTGAAGATCTAAATAAACCAAAAAAGGGAAGCAGGGCAAATGCACCCTCTGCTTGAGCTGGGACATCCATCTTCTCCTCCTCTTGGATAGAGGCACTCTCGGTTTTAGGGACTTTGACATGGGCTGTGACTTACACCATTATCTCCCCTGGTTCTCAGGCTTCTGGGTTTATACCGGAACAATACCATCTTTCCTCAGTCTCCAACTTGCCAATGTTAGATTGTAGGAATTCTCAGCCTCCATAATTGAGTGAGTCAATCCCTTGTAATAAATCTCTATCTACCTAGCTTATTGGTTCTATTTCTTTGAAGAACCCTGACACTAGAGAATGCTTTATGCAGGAAAATAACCTGAAAGCTTTGCAGTCTAAACATTTCCTTTTGGCAGCAATTTGAATTTGAGGAGATAAGATATAAATATAGAAATTAGAGTTACACTATTTCCATAGCACAAGAAAAAAAGTATGTTTGTTTGTTTGAGACAGGGTCTCACTCCATCGCCCAGGCTGGAGTACAGTGGTGCGATTTCACCTCACTGCAATCTCTGCCTCCCGGGTTCAAGTGATTCTCTTGCCTCAGCCTCCTGAGTAGCTGGGATTACAGGCACGTGCCGGCACGCCCGGCTGAATTTTTTTTTTTTTTTTTTTTTTTTTTTTTGTATTTTTAGTAGAGACGGGGTTTCACCATGTTGACCAGGCTGGTCTTGAACTCAGGCCTCAAGCGATCCACCCAACTCGGCCTCCTAGCGTGCTGGGATTACAGGCGTGAGTCACTGTGCCCGGCCTTGCTAATTTAAATCTAAATATTGAAAAGGAAGAGGGGAAGATATATGAGCCATAAGTAATGGTAAAATACACAAGATTAACTCTGGAAGGTGTGCACTTATGTTTCAGAGAGTGTCTTATACAATTTAGTAAAGGGTAACTTCATGACTAAAAAAATTGCAGAACAAAATGTGGAACATGTTTAGGAGTTGGAAGGAATGCATAATATGTTCATTTTGGGGCAATCTGAATTTCAGGTTTTGGACATCTGGATAGACAAAGCCAGTCTACTGAATGTATAAATGTGCAATTCAATGTTTGAAGATCAGATATAGATTTGGATATTTTGGTCATACAGACAATAAATAAGGCAGTATTCATGGTTCAGATAGTTTAAAGAAAATGTGCAGAATTTATATATAGTGTGAAATAGGGGTTCAGTTTCATAACCAATTTTCCCAGTACCATTTCCTAAAAACGAGGTCCGTTTCCCAAAGTATGTTCTTATCATCTTTGTCAAAGGTCACTTAACTGGAAATATGTGGCTCCATTTCTGGATTCTCTGTTTTGTTCCATTTTTCTATGTGTTTATTTTTATATCAGTATCATTATGTTTGGGTTACTAGAGCCTTGTAATATAATCTGAAGTCAGGCAATGTGATGCCTCCAGCTTTGTTCTTTTTCCTCAGAACTGTCTTGGCTATTTGGGCTAATTTTTTTATTCCATATAAATTCTAGGACTTTTTTTTCTAATTCTGTGAAAAATGATCTTGGCATTTTGATAGGGATTGTATTGAATCTATAGATTGCTTCCAATTCATGAGTATAAAATATTTTTCCATTTGTTTGTGTCATTTTCAATTTCTCTCACAGGTATTTTGTAGTTTTCCTTGCAGAGGTCTTTTACTGCCTTGGTTAAATTTATTCCTAGGCATTTTGTTTTGTTTTGTAGCTATCGTAAAAGGGATCACCTTCTTGATTTCCCTCTCATATATCATCATTGGTGTTTAGAAACACTACTGAATTTTGTAATTTGATTTTGTACCCTGAAACATAACTGAATTTATTTATCAAATCTGTCAATTTTATATAATTTCAACTATTATTTTAGATTCACGAGGTACATGTGCAGGTTAGTTGCATGAGTATTTTGTGTGACAGTGAAGTTTGAATATGATTGGTTGCATCACCCAGGTAGTGAACAGAGTAGCCAATAGGTAGTTTCTCGGCTTTTCCTCCTTCCCTCTTCCCACTCTCTAGTAGTCCCCAGTGTTTATCTTTCCCATCTTGATATCAAGTGTACCCAATGTTTAGTTCCCACTTATAAATGACAACATACTGCATTTATTTTTTGTTCCTGCATTAATTTGCTTAGGATAATTGCCTCCAGTTGCACACATATGGCTGCAAATGACATGATTTCACTTTTTTATGCCTGCATAGTATTCCATTGTGTATACGTACCATATTTTCTTTATCCAATCCATTACTGATGGACACCTAGGTTGCTTCCATGTCTTTGCTATTGTGAATAGTGCTGCAATGAACATATGCGTGATTGTGTCTTTTTGGGTATTCCTTTGGGTATTGGTTGAATCTTTAGGTTTTTCTAGATATAAGATCAAATCCTCAGCAAACAGGGATAATTTATGCTTATTTTCCAATTTAAATGTCATTTATTTCTTTCTCTTGCCTGATTGTTCTATGTAGGACTTCCTGCAACTCAATACAGATGAAAGACTTAAACAGATTGGGCACAGTGGCTCACACCTATAATCCTGGCACTGGTATGTCAAGATAGGAGGACCGCTTGAGCCCAGGAATTTGAGACCAGCCTAGGAAACACAGAAAGACCCCATCTCTATAGCACATTTTAAAAATTAGCTGGGCATGGTTATCTTCCCAACTACTTGGGAGGTTGAGGTGGGAGGATCATGAGTCCAGAAGGATGAGGCTTCAGTGAGCCATAATTATGTACTGGATACAAGCCTGAGGGACAGAGCAAGACAGACCCTATCTCAACAACAACGAAAAAGACTTAAGCATAAGAACTGAAACTTTAGAAGTACTGGAAGAAAACCTAGGGAAAACTCTTCTGGACATTGGCCTAGGTGACAAATTTATGACTAAGACTGCATAAGCAGCAACAACACGAAGTAGACAAGTGGGACTTAGTTAAACTAAAATGCTTCTGCGCAACAAAATAAGCAACTAACAGAGTGAAGAGACAACCTGTTGAATGGGAGAAAATATTTGCAAACTATTTCTTCAACAGGGGATTAATATCCACAATATAGAAGTAACACAAATGACTGAACACCAACAACAGCAAAACCAAATAATCCCATTAAAAATGGGCAAAGGATAAGAATAGATATTTTTTAAAAGAAGATACACAAATGGCCAACACATAAATGTGAAAATGCTCAACGTCACTAATCATCCAAGAAATGCAAGTCAAAACCACAATGAGATAACATCTTACCCCAATCAGAAGGGCTGTTATTAAAAAGGCAAAAACCAGATAGTGGTGAAAATGTGGAGAAAAGGGAACTCTTATACACTGTTGATGGGAGTGTAAATTAGTGCAGTCTCTATGAAAACAGTATTGATATTTATCAAAGAACTAAAAATAGAACTGCAATTCGATCTAGCACTCCCACCACTTTTCCCAAAGGAAAAGATGTCAATATATCAAAAACATACCTCACTCCTGTGTTTATCACAGCACTATTCACAATAGAATATATATGGAATAAATAAAAATATCCATCAGTGTTTAAATAGATAAAGAAAATACGCTATATATACACAATGGGATACTATTCAGCAATGGAAAAAATAAAATCATGTCTTTCACAGCAACATGGATGCAGCTGGAGGCCATTATCCTAAGTGAAACAAGCCAGGAACAGAAAGACAAATATTACATAATCTCACTCATAAGTGAGTGTAAACAGTGTATTCATATGTATGTAGAAAACGAAATTATAGATATTGTAGACTTAGAAGGGTGAAGGGGTAAAAGTGGGGAGATTGAAGACAAATTAGTTAATGGGTACAATGCACATTATCCAGGTGACAGATACTCTAGAAGCCCTGATTTGACCACTAGGGAATCTATGAATGTAACAAAATTGCACATATACCCCCATATATGTATACAAATGGAAAGGAGATAAAGAAAATGTACAGAATTCAAAAATAAAGATAGCTCAATAATACCAGGATAAGTCAACATGCAATAGGAATTACATGTCACCTATGAAGCAAGCCTGCCAAAAAAACATGAACCTGAACTGGATCATGAGGAACCACTCTCACATATCCCAGTTGTGAATCATTAGACAAGATGATGACCTGAATGCTTCAAAAATAAAATCAATGTAAAACAATACATAAACAAGGAAAAGTAAAAATAAATAAAATGATGCAGGAGATTTCTTTGTTTAAAAAAAAAAGAATAAAGACATAAATCACCTAGTTGCAATGTGAATCTTGATAGGATATTGAGTAATAGAAACAGCTAGCTATAAAACTTTTTGAAGGCAAATGTGGAAATTAGAATATAAACAATATTTTATGATATAGAATTGTTAAACTTCCTGAAAGGAATATTGATATTGTTGTTATGTAAGATGTTAAGGAATGAATGGTGTTCCCCGTATGACAAAAGCTCAATGTCACCGATCATTAAAGTAATGCAAATCAAAACCATAATGATACATAATTTCACACCAGTCAGAATGGCTATTATTAAAAAGTCAAAAAATAACAGATTCTGGCGAGGTTGTGGAGAAAAAAGGAATGCTTATCCACTGTTGGTGGGAGTGTAAATTAGTTCAACCATTGTGGAAGAGAGTGTGGAGATTCCTCAAAGACCTAAAAACAAAAATACCATTGGACTCAGCAATCCCATTACTGGGTATATACCAAAAGGAATATAAATGATGCTATTATAAAGACACATACACATGTATGTTCATTACAGCCCTATTCACAATAGCTAAGACATGGAATCAACCTAAATGCCCATCAGTGGTAGACTGGATAAAGAACAGGTGCTATATATAGGACATGGAATACTACACAACCATAAAAAAATGAGATCATGTCCTTTGCAGGAACATGAATGGAGTTGGAGGCCATTATCCTTAGCAACCTCTAATGCAGGGATACAAAACCAAATACCATATGTTCTCACTTATAAGTAGGAGCTAAATGACGAAAACATGGGCCACATAGAGGGGAACAACACACACTGGGGCATATCTGAGGGCATAGGGTGGGACGGGGGAGAGGATCAAGAGAGATAACTAAATGGGTACTAGACTTAATACCTGAGTGATGATATAATTTGTGCAGCAAACTTCCATGACACAGTTTGCCTATATGACAAGCCTGCACATGTACCCCTGAACTTAAAATAAAAGTTAAGTAGTAAATAAATAAATAAATAAAATAGAAAATAAAAAGGAGGAAACTTATTTTTTCACTGGATTTGGAGACAAGATCTTCAAGGAGATAACTATGGATAAGTTAGATCAGAAGATTGAGACCCTAATCCACTAGAACTGTTGTCCTCACGAGAGGCTGGTCAATGATTACGAAGTAGAGCTCAATGAGAGGAATAAGTTTTTGTGTTCTATTGCTCTACAGGGTGACTATAGTCAACCATAATATATTGTCTATCCAGAAATATCTAGAAGAGAGCATTTTTAATGTCTTTACTACAAAGAAATGACAAGTGTTTGAGGTGATGGATATGCCAATTATCCTGATTTGATTATTACACAATCTATATATGTATCGAAACATCACAATTTACCCCAGAAATAGGTACAATGATTACGTGTTAATTAAAAACAAAATTAATTTAAAAAAGAAAGAAGATACAACAATGATATACACACACACCACACACGTCACACACACTCAAACACACAGGAAGAGCCTTGTGAGGACATAGCCAGAAGATGCCTATCTATGAGACAAGGAAACAGACCTCAGGGAAAACCAAACCTGCTTACATCTTGAGTTGGATTTCCAGCCATGACAACTGTGAGAAATAAATTTCTGTTGTGTAAGCACACAGTCTGTAGTATTTTGTTATGGCGGTAGAATACTAGTGTATGGGAGAATGTTTCTTATTTAAGAGTTATGCTGAAATATTTAGAGAGGAAGTTTTATAACATCTGCCACTTGCTGTAGAGAGGCAGAGAGAGAGAGAGAGAGAGAGAGAGATGTGAATTTAAGTTTGTAGGTATTAGCTGCACTATTTTTTCAACATTTTGGACATTTTTATGAATAAAGAATTAAGGAAAACTAAAGGGAGGTGAACATTTCCAGTCTATTTTTTAAGTGAATTGGATCAAAAATAGGATTTGGAGAGGCAGTGATAATTAAACAAAATAAAGAGGAAAGCAAGTAGCAAAACAGACTGAAGATAGCCTAAGAGGAAGAAGTGGACTTAAAGTAGAGATCTGTAAACCAAATCTGAATAGAAAGAGTCACAGAGAGACACATTAATTTAAGGACTGAAGAGTGATGGTTAGTAATTGTAATGAGAGCAGTATCTGAGATGGATTGGGTCAAAGGTTCAATGATGTGGGCTTAAGAGAGAAGGCAGAATAAGAAAGTAAAAAGTAAGCATGATTAACTTTTTTTGTTTGTTTGTTTTGTTTCAAAGACTGATTGGGAGGGAAGGCTTTGACACAGTATGTTGAGGGAGTAGATAAAGTTTTGTTTTCTTAGATTAGAAAAAAAGCATTTTGTATGCTTCAAGAAAATAATTAATGTAGAACAATGGATGGAAATACAGAAGAAAGTAGAGCAAGTTCCTGTTTTTTTTGGAGTGAGACTAAACAGAACATTACAATAATAATAAACAGCCCATACTATTATTTCCTTCATTCAGAAGATAAAACTGAAGCTAAATGTAAAATATTTATATTGACATAACATACTAACAAATAGCACTAGCTCTGTTTGATTCCAAAGTCCATTCATTTTTTTCCCTCTATGTCATTCTACAAATGTATATTCTGTACCTCAGTTAAAACCAGTAACCTCTACATAATAATAAGTAAAATAATTTTGAGGATGCAACCACTGCAAGGATTTCTAGGAAATCATGAATGACCACTATTATTCTCCATCAAAGGGTAAACACTTTTCTCCATACTCCCTAATGTGAAAGTTTTCAATGTAATAGCTAAATGCTAATGAAAATGCAGTAATGTTAATGCACACGGGCAAACACTAAGAATAAACTAGTGAATAGATTTAACTGTTTGTAAGCAAACAATTTACTATATGCTGATAATCATTTAGGATTGTGCAAAAGTACATTTATTTAGGAAATTTCCATCTCTATTCATATATTTGCAACTGTCCTTTGCTCATTTGAGTCTTGTAATTTTAAGGTACTAAGATGCAAAACATTTTTTGTTTTGTAAAAACAAAATAAAGCTCAATGCATTATTTAGGAAATATTCAACAAACAGAAATATCGGGACCTAGCATAGACAATATGGTGCCTATAAATATTATTAAAACATTATCTTTCTCATTCTGGGCCTTGTGTTCTTGTGGGTTTGTTATAATTATATTATGAAGTTGTTTTGATGTTCAAAGAGCTCGAGAGATTAAGGTCGACTGGAGTAAAAATACATATACTTATGAGGGCAAGGCAGATAATATGGAAAAATAAATTTGACTCAAGAAGCAATATGAAATGGTTCAGAAAAATATTAAAATGATCAATCATATTACTTACTGAATATGCCTTAGTATTACTGCTGTCAATTGATTGATGCAGTATGATAACTAAGAACTTCTGTTGCCCAGTGCTTGATATTTCAGGTTTAGTGTGGCATCTAGGTTTTTATGTAAAATTTCTGAATTATTAAATCTTGACAAAAAATTCAAACTAAAAAAAATACATATTTTATATTTGCTAGAAATACATTGCTACTATTTCTTGGCTTATCCATGTGTGTTATCAGTTGTCTATCATTAAAGCTATCAGTAAATAGATGACTACTATGACACTCACCCAAACATGGATATAGCAATAACATCAAACCTATACCAGGATGTTACATTAAAATAGACCAAGTTAAGATTCTGAGAAATCAGTCATTACAGGTTAAAGTGTATCCTTTAAAAAGATATGTTGAAGTCTTAACCCCCAGTACTTACAGGTAAATACGATTTTTGGAGATGTAAATAAGTTAAGATGATTTCTTTAGAGTAGGCTCTAATCCATCATGAGTGGTGTCGGAAGAGAAGAGGGATACAGGTGGAGAAACGGAGACAAAACATTATGCAACAATGAAAGAAGAAAGTTTCAGAAATGTCTCTAACAAGCCAAGGAATGGCAAGGATTGCTAGCAAAGTAGGCAATATCAGAAGCAAAGAGAAAGGTACATATTAGAATGTTCCCTATTGTCTTTAGAGAGAGCATGGCCTTGCTGACACTTTAAATTTGAACTTCTAGCCTCCAGAGCTAGAAAAATCAACCAATGTAATATTTATGAACAGAAGAATGAATTCACACACTGTGGCATGTTTATATTATATAATACTACTTAGCAAGTATAAAGTACACGCAGCATGGCTGAATCTCAAAATAATTATACTGAGTGAAATAAGTCAGAAGATCCCTTCCAGAAAAAAAACCTACAAGGGTACAATTTATATAAAATTTTCAGAAGTCAATAGAATGCATAGTGAGAGAAATCTGACCAGTGTTTTCCTGGATCAGAAAGAAGGAATACATATACATTTTCTGAGATGAGAGATATATTCCTTATCTTGATTTTTGCAATGGCCTTCATAGATGAGTACATATGTCAATAATTATCAAGTTATAAACTTTATGTGTAGCTTATATACATCAGTGATATTTCAATAAACCTGTTCTTAAAAAACAAAAAAAGTGTATATTTGCCGTATCAAAACTAGGAAGATAAGAATATATATATTTTGATACATGTAAAACCAATTAAATGAATTCCACTGTCTTACAAGAAAGCCATTCTAGAAAACATTGGCTTTTGGCGTATTATCATACTTTGAGAACATCTTTTTTATACTTTATAGAAAAAATATTTGGATATAATCAATGTAAATTATTTCAAATGATGGGTGAAAATTTAATATACTACTTTGCATTGTGATGGCCTGAGAGAACTGTAAAAAATGCAATAGCATTCCAAAACCTCTGACCATGAATCATTTTGCCTTGACATGCTTGTTACCCTTTCCACAAAGACCATATCAAGGCCCTTAAATGTTACCATATCTAAGAAAACTAGATTTGCCAATAAGTAGTAGACAAGAGGGATCCTGAAGAAAAGAAAAGCTAAAGATTTTTTTTTTATTATTTTCACCACATTTCTGAGGAGAAATGATATTGGGACCTGAGATTATATATCCACTTGATATGATTCGGCTTTGTGTCTCTGCCCAAATCTCATGGCAAATTGGAGGAGGTGCCTAATGGGAGGTGATTGGATCATGAGGGTGGATCTCCCCCATGTTGTTCTTGTGATAGTGAGTGAGTTCTCATGAGATCTGATGCCTTAAAAGCGTGTGGCACTTCCCCCATCATGCTCTCTCTCTCTCCTGCCACCATATGAAGAAGGTCATTGCTTTCCCTTCATCTTCTACCATGACTGTAAGTTTTCTGAGGCCTCCTTATCATGCTTCCTGTTAAGCCTGCTCAACTGTGAGTCAGGTAAACCTCTTTTCTTCTTAAATTACCTAATCTCAGGTACTTCTTTATAGCAATGTGAAAACTGACTAATACGCCACTTAACAGTTGTATCACACAAGCAATGCTTTATGGCATTTTCCATGAATAATAATCAATTATTTTTTGTGTTCTGAGTACATTAAGAATCATTAAGGGGGAGGTGGAGCAAGGTGGCCAAATAGAAGCCTTCACTGATTAACCTCCCTGGAGGAATAGCAAATTGAATAGCTTTCCACACAAAAAATCACCTTAATAAGAATCAAACTTCAGGTGAGTGATCAAAGTACCTGGTTTTAACTTCTTATCACTGAAACAGGCTCTGAATGGGATAGGAAAGACAGTCTTGAATTGCTCCTATCTTCTGGCAGTGGCTGCATGGTGTAGAGAGAGAATATTTGCTTTTGGGGGAGGGAGAGTGCAGTGATTTGGGGACTTTGCATCAGAACTCATGGTTGCTCTATCACAGTGAGTGGCAACACTGGGCAGAATTCTGCTGGGTCCCATGGAGGGAGCATTTAGACCAGCCCTAGCCAGAGGGAAATTACCCACCCCAGCAGACATAATGTGACTTCCAGCAAGCCTCACTACCATGCGATAAATTGCTCTGAGGTTCTAAATAATCTTGAAAGGTAGTCTAGGCCAAAAGAACTGCAATTCATGGGGCAAATCCTGCTGCTTTGCTGGGCTTGGAGCCAGTGAACATGGGGGACAAGTGACCTAGTGAGACACCAGCTGGGGTGACCAAGTGAGTACTTGTGCCACTCCTCTGCTAATCCCAGGGAGCGCAGCTCACAGCTCCAGGAGAGACTCCTCCCTTCAACTGAGGAGAGGAGAGGGAAGAGTAAAAATAACTTTGTCTTGCAACTTTGATACCAGCTCAGCCATAGTTGGATAGGGAACTGGGCAGAGTCCTGAGGCCCCCATTCCAGGCTCTCACTCCTTGATGTTATTTCTAGACCCACAATGGGCCAGAAGGGAACCCACTGTCTTGAAGGCAAAGAACAAATTCTGGCAGGATTCATCCCCAGCTGAATAAAGAACCCTTGAGCCCTGAATAGTCAGAATCAACAGCCAAGAATTACTCATTGTGGGCCTTGGATGAGACTCAGGTGTGACTCAGCACATTCCTAGCAGTGGTGGCTACAGGATAAACTTGAGAAAAGGAGAGGAAAGAGTAAAGGGAACTTTGTCCTGCAGCTTAGGTATCAGCTTGACCACAAGGTATAGAGCACTAAGCAGGCTGTTAGGGTCCTGGATTCTAGGCCTTGGCTCTTGGACAGCATTTCTGCACTGGCACTAGGCCAGAGGGGAGCCCATTGCCCTGAACGGAGAGTCCCAGGCCTGGGAGTATTCACCAGAAGCTGACTGAAGAGCTCTTGGGCCTTCAGTAAGCATGACCAGTAGCCAGGCAGTACTGGCCACAGGCCTGTGGTGGTAGTGACTGTGGGGAGAAACTCCTCTGCTTGTGGAAAGGGGAGGAAGGAGTAGGAAGGACTTTGTCTTGTGGCATGCATGCCAGCTCAGCTGCAGTAGAATAGAGCACCAGGTACATTCCTAAGGTTTCCAACGTCAGGCCCTGGCTTCAGGACGACATCTCTGGACCAGAACTCACTGCCCTAAAGAGAAGGACAAAAGCGAGGCTGTCTTTGCCACCTGCTGTTTTTAGAGCCCTAGGTCCTTGAGTGAACACAGGCGGTAGCCAGGAGGTGGTTACTGCAGGCCTTCGGTGAGAACCAGAACTGTGCTGTCTTCAAGATTCATCCAGTGCAGTCCCAGTGGTGATGGCCATGGGGTTGTTTGTGTCAACCCTCCCCCAACTCAAGGCAACTCAGCACAGAGAGAGAGACTCTGCTTGTTTTGGAAAAAGGAAGGAAAGGAAAAAGAGTCTCCAACCAGTAATCCAGAGAATTCCTCAAGATCTTTTCTAAAACCACCCAGGCAGCACCTCTATGGAATCTTCAAGAGCCACACCATTACTGGGCTTTGGGTGCCTCCAGTGCAGATTGGCTGAAGTGACCAGAAACTTAGATTACAACACCCAAGTCCCTTTGAATACCTGGAAAGCCTTTCTAAGAAGAATGAGTACAGCAAGCCCAGAATATGAAGACTATAATAAATACCTAAGTTTTCACTGCACAGAAGCTGACAAACATCCACAAGCACTAAGACCACCCAGGAAAACATGACCTCACTAATAAATAAGGCACAAGGGACCGATCCTGAAGAGAGAGAGTTATGTGACCTTTCAGACAGAGAATTCAAAATAGCCATTTTGAGGAAACTCAATGAAATTCAAGATAACACAGAGAAAGAATTCAGAATTGTATGAGATAAATTTAACAAAGAGATTTAAATGATTAAAAAAGTCAAGCAGAAATTCTGGAGTTGAAAATGCAGTTGACATACTGAAGAATGTGTCAGTCTCTTAGCAGCAGAACTGATCATGCAGAAGAAAGAATAAGTGAGCTTGAAGACAGGTTATTTGAAACTACACAGTCGGAGGAGAAAAATGCAAAAAGAATAACAATAATGAAGCCTACCTGCCACATCTAGAAAATAGCCTAAAAAAGGAAAATCTAATAGTTATTGGCCTTAAAGTAGATAGATAATGAGAGCCTGGGTAGAAAGTTTATTCAAAGGTCTAATAACTTCTCAAATCAAGAAAAATATACAACATTTAAGTACAAGAAAGTTATAGAACACCAAGCAGATGTAACAGAAATAAACTATGTCAAGATATTTAGTAATCAAACTCCCAAAGAGCATGGATAAAGAAAGGATCCTAAAAGCAGCAAGAGAAAAGAAACAAATAACATAGGATGGATCTCCAACACACTTAGCAGCAGACCGTTTGGTGCAAATCTTACAGGGCAGAAGAGAATGGCATGACAGATTTAAAGCGCTGAAGGAAAAAAAAAATCCCAGAATAGGATATGCAGCAAAAATATCCTTCAAACATAAAAAATAAATACAATCTTTCCCAGACAAAAAAAAGCTGAGAAATTTCTACAATATAAGACCTATCCTACAAAAAATGCTAAAGGGAGTTCTTCAGTCTGAAAGAAAAAAAGATGTTAATGAGCAATAAAATATAATTGAAGGTTAACTTGTGATAGCAAGTACATAGAGGAACATCGAATATGATAATATTGTAATTGTGGTGTGTAAACTATTTATAACTTCAGTATAAAAAATAAAAGATGACCTGATTAAAAATAATAACTACAATACAAAGAACGAACAGTTAAAAAGTAGGGTGATAAAGTAACAAGTACAGAGTTTTTATTTATTTTCTTTTTGCCTATTTGACAGTCTGATTGCTTATGCAATCAGTTAAGTTGTATTATTTTAAAATAGTGGGTTATAAGATATTGTTTGAAAGCCTCTTGGTAACCTCAAATCAGAAACCTACAACAGAGACACAAAAAATAACATGTAAGAAATTAAAATACATGACCAGAGAAACTAAAAAATGAAAAGATATTTCATGTACCTAGATTGGAAGCCAAGAAAGGAGGAAAAAAAGAAGACCACAAAACAACCAGAAAACAAATAACAAAATAGCAGGAGTAAGTCCTTCCTTATCAATAATTACATTGAATGTAAATGGGCTAAACTATCCAATCAAAAGATACAGAGTGGCAGAATGGATAAGAAATGAGACTCAAAGATCTGCTACCTACAAAAAAACCACACATTACAAAGACACACATAGACTGAAAATAAAGCAATTAAAAAAGAAATTCCATGCAAATAGAAATAAAAAAGAGCATAAGTAGCTATATTTATATAAGACAAAATAGACTTAAAGACAAAAACTATAAAAAGAGAAAATGAAGCATATTATGTAATGATCAGAAAGTCAATTCAGCAACATGATGTAATAATTATAAATATACACTCACCCCACACTGGAGTACACAGATATATAAAGCAAATACTATAAGAGGCTGGGCACCGTGGCTCATGCCTGTAATTCCAGCACTCTGGGAGGCCGAGGCAGGTGGATCACCTGAGGACAGGGGTTTGAGACCAGCCTAGCCAGCATGGTGAAACCCTGTCTCTATTAAAACTACAAAAATTAGCTGGGCATGGTGGTGGTCACCTGTAATCCCAGCTACTTGGGAGGCTGAGGCAGGAGAACCGCTTGAACCTGGGAGGTGGAGGTTGCAGTGAGCCGAGATCATGCCATTGCACTCCTTCCTGGGTGACAAAAGAGAAGCTCTGTCTCAAAAAAAAAAAAAAAAAAAAAAAAAAAAAGCAAAAACTGTAAGAGCGAGATAGGCTTAAATTCAATAACAGCTGCAGAGTTCAATCCTTCACTTTCAGGATTGGACAGATCATCCAGACAGAAAATCATCAAAGAAACATAGATTTAGTCTGCACTATAGACTAAGTGGACCTAATATATCTTTTTACAGAGCATTTAATCCAACCACTTCAGAATACACATTGTTCTCCTCAGCATACAGATAACTCTCAAGTATAGTCCACGTTAGCACACAAAACAAGTCTTAAAAAATTCAAAAACATTGAAATTACATCAAAGTTATTATCTGACTAAAATGGAATCAAACTAGAAATAAAAAGCAAAAGGAATTTTGGAAACTACTCATACCTCAAACAATTTACAGATTCAATGCAATCTCTATCAAAATATGTATGACATTTCTTTTCTTTTTAATATTGAAAGAAGAAAAAAACTTTATTTATTTATTTATTTTATTTATTTTTTTTCTGGATTCTTTTTTTTATTATACTTTAAGTTTTAGGGTACATGTGCACAATGTGCAGGTCTGTTACATATGTACACATGTGCCATTTTGGTGTGCTGCACCCATTAACTCATCATTTAACATTAGGTTTATCTCCTAATGCTATCCCTCCCCACTCCTCCCACCCAACAAAAGGCCTGGTGTGTGATGTTCCCCTTCCTGTGACCATGCGTCCTCATTGTTCAATTCCCACCTATGAGTGAGAACATGCGGTGTTTGCTTTTTGCCCTTGCGATAGTTTGCTGAGAATGATGGTTTCCAGCTTCATCCATGTCCCTACAAAGGACATGAACTCATCATTTTTTATGGCTGCATAGTATTCCATGGTGTATATGTGCCACATTTTCTTAATCTAGTCTATCACTGTTGGACATTTGGGTTGGTTCCAAGTCTTTGCTATTGTGAATAGTGCCACAATAAACATATGTGTGCATGTGTTTTTATAGCAGCATGATTTATAATCCTTTGGGTATATACCCAGTAATGGGATGGCTGGGTCAAATGGTATTTCTAGTTCTAGATCCCTGAGGAATCGCCACACTGACGTCCACAAGGGTTGAACTAGTTTACAGTCCCACCAACAGTGTAAAAGTGTTCCTATTTCTCCACATCCTCTCCAGCACCTGTTGTTTCCTGACTTTTAAATGATCGCCATTCAAACTGGTGTGAGATGGTATCTCATTGTGGTTTTGATTTGCATTTCTCTGATGGCCAGTGATGATGAGCATTTTTTCATGTGTTTTTGGCTGCATAAATGTCTTCTTTTGAGAAGTGTCTGTTCCTATCCTTTTCCCACTTTTTGATGGGGTTGTTTGTTTTTTTCTTGTAAATCTGTTTGAGTTCTTTGTGGATTCTGGATATTAGCCCTTTGTCAGATGAGTAGGTTGCAAAAATTTTCTCCCATTCTGTAGGTTGCCTGTTCACTCTGATGGTAGTTTCTTTTGCTGTGCAGAAGCTCTTTAGTTTAATTAGATCCCATTTGTCAATTCTGGCTTTTGTTGCCATTGCTTTTGGTGTTTTAGACATGAAGTCCTTGCCCATGCCTATGTCCTGAATGGTATTGCCTAGGTTTTCTTCTAGGGATTTTATGGTTTTAGGTCTAACATTTAAGTCTTTAATCCATCTTGAATTAATTTTTGTGTAAGGTGTAAGGAAGGGATCCAGTTTCAGCTTTCTACATATGGCTAGCCAGTTTTCCCAGCACCATTTATTAAATAGGGAATCCTTTCCCTATTTCTTGTTTTTGTCAGGCTTGTCAAAGATCAGATGGTTGTAGATATGTGGCATTATTTCTGAGGGCTCTGTTCTTTTCCATTGGTCTATATCTCTGTTTTGGTACCAGTACCGTGCTGTTTTGGTTACTGTAGCCTTGTAGTATAGTTTGAAGTCAGGTAGTGTGATGCCTCCAGCTTTGTTCTTTTAGCTTAGGATTGACTTGGCGATGCGGGCTCTCTTTTGGTTCCATATGAACTTTAAAATAGTTTTTTTCCAATTCTGTGAAGAAAGTCATTGGTAGGTAGTTTGATGGGGATGGCATTGAATCTATAAATTACCTTGGGCATTATGGCCATTTTCACGATATTGATTCTTCCTACCCATGAGCATGGAATGTTCTTCCATTTGTTTGTATCCTCTTTTATTTCATTGAGCAGTGGTCTGTAGTTCTCCTTGAACAGATCCTTTGCATCCCTTGTAAGTTGGATTCCTAGGTCTTTTCTTCTCTTTGAAGCAATTATAAATGGGAGTTCACTCATGATTTGGCTCTCTGTTTGTCTGTTATTGGTGTATAAGAATACTTGTGATTTTTGCACATTGATTTTGTATCCTGAGACTTTGCTGAAGTTGCTTATCAGCTTAAGGAGATTTTGGGCTGAGACGATGGGGTTTTCTAGATATACAATCATGTCATCTGCAAACAGAGACAATTTGACTTCCTCTTTTCCTAATTGAATACCCTTTATTTCTTTCTCCTGCCTGACTGCCCTGGCCAGAACTTCCAACACTATGTTGAATAGGAGTGGTGAAAGAGGGCATCCCTGTCTCGTGCCAGTTTTCAAAGGGAATGCTTCCAGTTTTTGCCCATTCAGTATGATATTGGCTGTGGGTTTGTCATAAATAGCTCTTATTATTTTGAGATACGTAACATCAATACCTAATTTCTTGAGAGTTTTTAGCATGAAGGGCTGTTTAATTTTGTCAAAGGCCTTTTCTGCATCTACTGAGATAATCATATGGTTTTTCTCGTTGGTTCTGTTTATATGCTGGATTACATTTATTGATTTGCATATGTTGAACCAGCCTTGCATCCCAGGGATGAAGCCCACTTGATCATGGTGGATAAGCTTTTTGATGTGCTGCTGGATTCGATTTGCCAGTATTTTATTGAGGATATTTTTGCATCGATGTTCATCAGGGATATTGGTCTAAAATTCTCTTTTTTTGCTGTGTCTCTGCCAGGCTTTGGTATCAGGATGATGCTGGCCTCATCAAATGAGTTAGGGAGGATTCCCTCTTTGTCTATTGATAGAAATAAAAACAATCCTAAAGTTTATATGAAACACAAAAGACCAAAATAGCCAAACTTATTCTGAGCAAAAAGAATAAAATAAACTGACTTCAAATTATACCACAAAGCCATAGTAACAAAAAGAACATGATACTGGCATAAAAACAGACACACAGACCAATGCATCAAAATAGAGAGACCAAAAACAAATCCGTACATCTACAGTGAACTTATTTTCAACAAATATGCCCAGAACATACACTGGGTAAGGGACAATCTCTTCAATAGATAGTGCCAGGAATACTAAACATCCATATGCAGAAAAGTCAAACTAGACCCCTGCTTCTTGTCTTATCAAAATAAATTAAATACTTACACTAAGACCTGAAACTATAAAATTACTAGAAAAAAAATAACTTTTGTAAACTCTCCAGGACATGGGACTGGGTAGATTTATTGAGTAACACTTCACAAGCCTAGGCAACCAAAGCAAAAATGGGCAAATGGGATCACATCAAGTTAAAAAGTTTATGCACAGCAAAGAAAACAACAAGTGGAGGGAATCCACAGAATGGGGGAAAATATTTGCAAAATATCCATCTGACAAGTGGCTAATTACCAGAGTATATAAGGAGTGTGAACAAATCTATAGGAAAAACATCTTAGAATCTGATTAATCAATGGGCAAAAAATCTGAATAGACACATCTCAAAAGAAGACACACAAATGGAAAACGGGTATATGAAAAGATGTTCATGATCACGGATCATCAGAGAAATGGAAAAAAAAAACTGCAATTAAATATCATTTGACCCTGTTTAAATGGCTTTTATCCAAAAGACAGGCAATAATAAATGCTGGTTAAGTACGTAGAGAAAAGGGAACCCTTGTACACGGTTGGTGGGAAAGTAAATTGTCACAACCACTATGGAAAACAGTTTGGAATTTCCTCAAACAACTGAAAATAGAGCTACCATATGATCCAGCAAATCCACTACTAGGTATATACCCAAAATAAAGGAAATTAGTATGGCAAAGATATATCAGCACTCCCATGTTTACTGCAGTAGAATTCACAATTTCCAAGATTTGGAAGCAAATTAAATTTCCATTGACATAAATCAAGAAAATGTGGTACATATACACAGTGGGGCACTATTTAGCCATAAAAGGAATGAGATCCTATCATTGACAATAGCATGGATGGAACTAGAGATCATTATGTTAAGTAAAATAAGCCAAGCACGGAAAGACAGACCTCACATGTTTTCACTCACTTTGGGAGCTAAATAAATATTAAAACAATTGAACTCCTGGAGATGGAGAGTAGAATGATAGTTACCAGGGGCTGGGGATGGTAGCGGGGAGTGGGCCAGGGAGAAGAGGAGATGGTTAATGAGTACAAAAATATAGTTAGAGAGAATGAATTAGATCCAGTATTTGATAACACAACAGGGTGACTACAGTTGTACATTTTTAAACAACTAAAAGGATATAATTGGATTGTTTGTCACATAAAGAAAGGATACAAACTTGAGGTAATAGGTATCACATTTAACCTGATGTGGTGCATGCCTGCATCAAAATATCTCGTGTAACCCATAAATATACGCACTTACTATGTACTCATAAAAATAAAAATTATAAAAATGTTTTAAAAGTCATTAAAATTTTAATTTGGGCTTATACAGTTTTTCTAACAAACAGAAAACATGCTGATTAATCTACATGCCTACCATAATCCACTTGTGAGTTATTTTTTCCCACCGTTATTGGAACGATTGACATTTGACTTAAGCATTATTCTTCTTGTGAGTTTATGTCAGTCAATTCACTAAAATCAATAAACTTCTGCAGAAAAAACTGCATTTAATCCTGCACCTAAAACACTTAGTACGACACCATGAACAAGCTTGACCTCATCCACTAACCAATTTCTCTGAGATCCTGCTAATTTAGCAAGGGAATTCTTTTTTTAAAACTAATATTTTAAACCATCACTTTATGGATTCAATCATCAGAGACAAATTATTATAGAATATTTTATAGAGCAAATATAAGTATTAGAAATCAAGTTGTATTTGGGACCAATGTATTTAGGATCTGTTTCATAGCCATAGTGTAGAAGGTTAATTCTCATGGATAGCACATGGTCTATAATGTTGTACTATAATTCAATTTAATGGGTTACTTGAAAAACTCTTACATAGAAATTAAGAATAAGAATTGATATATTTTATTTTATGTTTAAGTCAATACATCATAGAAATTATTCTATGGTTATACATTTTGCCTAAACCGTTATATCATACCCATCCCCTCTCATAAATAAAGAGTATATTGGGGGCTTATTTGCATTTCTGGTGGTAGTTGCTGCATGCACAAATCAAATACAGTTTACAGATTCCACCATAATTAATGTGAAGTAATCAATGATAACTTAGAAAATTGCAATTATACTCTTTTTCAAAGAGAATCAGATTTTCTGGTTATAACAGATAAAATTTATTGTCTTCCAATTTTCCAACTGTATCAGCACACTCAATGGTCATGAATACCCACTGTTCTCAAGGATTTTGTTTTTTTGGTCCCTGAGATAGGGCCATATAATCTGAGGCATGTAATATGGCCATATAATATAATATAATATAATATAATATAATATAATATAATATAATCATAATATAATATAATAATAAGGCCATATAATATGAGGCATGTTCTTGACCATCCATTGCTTGGAGGAATAAAATATTATAACTTACATTTCAAGTTATTTGATTTTCATTTTATTTTCTCTTCCGTGTATAAATAAAGTGTATTTATAAAGAAGAACACTGATAATTTCTAAATGAACAGGTATGCATATATGAGTGATGAATACTCAATTTGCCCCCTTTTGTGGAGGCCAGTTGCTTGTAAATCACATGTAACATAATCAATTGAAATGCAAGAAGAAAATGAAATAATTGATATGCCTTTTAACTTAATAATAGAAAAATCATTTAAATTTAGTAATAGTCAAATCATAGAACAATATCACTTCTCTCAATAAATATGCATGTTGAATTGCCATGTATCAGATATAATATTTGCTATTTGAGTGCCCTAAGTAAAAGTGGGAGTTTTTGTTCTACTTTTCTGTATGTAGGTTAAATTTATTTTTAAAAAATTAAAGACCTGTTCTGCATATCTTTAGTTAGTTTCTGTGATACTATCAGTGTTTTACTGTCAGCAACATATTTTCTTTTAAACAAAACAAAGGCTCATTTTTTTTAAGGAAAAGCTCAACAAGTGTGAAAAATATTTGCTTTGGATAAAAGTTTATGCTACGGAGAGAACAAATAGATAATGGATAATTCTCATTATTATTATTAGAATACCTTGCCCAAATAAATTCAGCAAGATAATATTTTAAATAGGATTTCAATGGATTTTTAATATATTCCTTTCTAAAATTAAGAATGAAACTTTTAATGAAATTAAAAATGAAAACCTTAACTTTAATGGAGACATTTAAGATTAACATTTAGTTAGGTGATTTGTTACACATAGCAGTAGTATTTTTAAATAAGATATACATATGATTAGCTGCTACTTATAATAATAGCTAAATAATAACCACTTATATGTTTGCTGTATTGAAAATACTGATTTCTATTGTGATAAAAAGTACAATGATAGTAGTAATTTAAATTACCATCATGCATATATTTTAATTGCAAAAAGAACATATGATATTGAAGTGGAAATTTTTCATACATAAAATATAGACCTTGGTACTTGGAGCTATTTTATTTTAGAGGAATTTATACTTATTTTCTTGGGGATTCCAGGTTGAAAAAATACTCAGTAATGGTGTTTATTAAACTTTTGCTCATGTGACCTATGCTAACAAAATGTTCTAGATCTACTGCATTTTCATCTGAGCATCAGTCACTGCCCTGGGATTCCAGAGAGAGAAGTGACTCAGCAAACTTATAAAGTATTTCTTTATTTCCTGCCTTCATCTATGGTGACTAAGTTTATGATCCAGCTCATTGAAACTGTTAAGGGGATACTGTGTACTCCCTGAACAGATACTGCAAGAGCTTTGCACTGAGCACAGTGATTGAGTAAAATAAAAGTCATTCACCTGCATCACAAAATTTATCACAAAGTTTCAACCTGCATATTTAATTATTTCTAAATTCTATAACCTAGAAAATAGTTGTTTTGAGTACCTTTTTTTCCTCCACTTAAATTGAGTATATTCCTTTCAAACTTAAATTATCAAAATCACATCCCAATACCTCACTGCTAATTTGGACTCTTAAGTTTCTTTTTGGAAATATTGGCTTATCATTTTCGTGCATGAACTGTTATTCTATGCCTAAGTGGATTGATATCTGTATTAGACAAAGTGGTGCATTAGCAGGTATAATGTTTTACATTTGTAGAATATTTCACTAACCATTACTATGAAATAATACTTAAAGAAAGCATGTCATCTATTATATCTTAATTGGAATTGATCCAGAATCAATGGTCTAATCTGTCATCCTTAGGTCAGAATCAATCACATACTGAGTCATATACTTTAGAATGTTAGGCATAGAGTGTTTTAAATATATATTTATTCAAATTTAAATTGAAGGATAATATTGTGCCTCCTTTTTCCATAGGTTCCTAAGATTTGATATTTCATAACTTTTCTGTTTCTATATAAGTTTCAAAGATAATCTAAAACTTTCCTCCATCTACTAGAAATCTAAATATCTTCTCAAATTAAGCATTACACATTTATCAAATAGTAAACAAATATTAAAAGCTCACAGCCTTAGAATTTTGCTGAGGTTTAAAATGTTTGATACTAGAATTTTCAACTCTAATGATATGCTAGCAACACATACACACATACATTGAATCATGATGAGCTGATAACAATAATAGAAACAATATTCTGTAAATCCAATTGAAAACATTAGCTGGTTAGATAACTTGAATGATTTATTTTTTAGCACTATAGACCAAGAAGCATTCATGTGAAACAAATCAACGTTGTGACTTCTCGGTATCACATTTAAAATGTAATCAAATATATCATGCATCACTCATGCCATGGAATAATAGAAGAAAAATGGCTTCATTGAAACTGACCTGAACAACATTTATTTATTTTCTCAAATTTATCCTTGTTCAAGCAGCTGAAGCCCTCGTAGCAGTTTTTGTATTTGATGTATAAAGCGTTGCATAATCAAGAAAGCATTTTACAAGGTCAGAAATGAAACACATCTGAACCTGCTGTTAACATTCAGCAAAATATACTGCAGATATTCTGGGGTCATTTTTTTTTTGTCACTGTGGACCAAATGCCATGCAACCTACATAGAAAATGAAGGCATAAATTCCTTTCTGCAAGAATCTACTTTGCAATATAAAAAGAATTAACTGTTACCAATTCAGAGGCAGAATCTCACTGCACTGCATCTTCTCAGATGACTGAAATCCTTAACTCTAATAGAAATCATTTATGACAATTTGAGCATGTCTGGAAAAAGTGAATGTACAAGATAAAAATATGGTGAGAAAGGTTTAGTTGGAGTCAAATTACTTAATAAAATACTAGCATGTCCCTTTTAATTTCAGAGTAAGAAATGTGACCAGTGATGCAAAAAAGTGATGTATTTAGTTTCTAGTGGCTTCAAAAAATACGATATATATATATATATATATGCATTGAGCCATTACTTTTCTTCCTGATCATCAGATGTTTTATGATTTTTATTGTAAGTCTAGCAAATCTCCACTATTATTTTCTGGTACAGAAGTTGGTAATTCATGACATCAAAATAATTTGACTGCCAGGAAAGGGATACCTAACAAATAAAGAACAAACCATCAAACCAACGAAGAGTGATAAGAAGAGGAAACATTTAATTTGATCATAATAGATCCTTTCTTGTGATAGTCAATTCGCTTTATTCAGAGCCACAAGAAAACTGTACACTTACATGCACACACACACGTAACATGCACAGGCAGACGGCATATCCCTTTACACTTGAAATGAAATAGTACAGATTGTATTTCAGCAGAATGAAAATTTGTGAAACTTTTATATTTTTAAAATACCTACAGTTAAGATATATTTCAAAAAATAATTCTTCACATTTCTTAATCTGAACTATTTTTCTAGAAATCAACTATTTTTGGAATTTTAATTAGACTTTTAACGAATTGTGATGTTATTTTTAGCAATGTAGTAAGAATTCTTTGGATTCTTTTGTCATGGTACCTGGATCATGTCAAATTCTTTCTGAATCCTACTGAATAATCAGTGGCATTAGATTATTGTCCCAATTAATTAACCTCTTTTCTACTCATATTTACCCATTTTTGGCTAGTCTTTATTCCACACTAAAGCCATAATCAAGGATCCAATATGGTATTAAATGTATATTAGCTCACTTCTTCTTTAAAATATATAGTAACTCATTTAATATTCAAAACATCCTTATTTCTGCTTTACAAATGAGAATTATGAAATGACAGTTGTTAGATAATTATTAAATGTTAACTCACTCTCCCAAAGACATACAATTAGTAGTTAATCATAGAGCTAAAACCTGACCTAGAAAAGTTTAGCTATAAAAGCTTTATTCCTCATACCTACAAATATTGTCACTAAGAGTGGTATTTTCAGCAGTGACTTGTGGCCACTTTAACTATTGTAAATTTTCATGGGTATCTGTTGTGTCTGATGGGTTATGTATTTGAAAGTGCACTACACTAGGTGACAGACTAAATATTTAGTGCCAATTTTGGGACTTTCTAACCCTAGGACCACAGTCAATATCTTTCTTAATGAATCTCAGTTTCCTCATTAATGAAATAAGTGTAAAAATATGTAAATTATAGAACTTAGTTTCTAGCTGCAACAAATAAAATCTTAGAAGAAAATATATATTAAAATATATATTTTAATTGCTTACATTTAAATTTGTTGTAGCAGTAACAGTACGATTAAGGAAAACACTGAAGATCAGATACACATTAAACTACAGATTTAATACATATCTGTCAATAGGGTCACCAGAGGCAAAAAACTGAAATACATTCAAAAGAACAAGGCAAAGAGAATGTTGTAGACAGAAATATGTAGATAGCTGTGTCTGTTTTCATAACCTAATCGCTTAGTTTTGTTGTTAATATCACTACTTTGCCCACAAAAACTGTTGTAATTAACAAATATAAATCTGGAATTTGAAAAATGGTAGAAGTAACATAATCACACAAAGGCACTTTAGATGTGCTTCCTGACTATTTCCCAAAGGCAGGGAGAAATAATACCTTCCTTCCCTGTCAAGTGCATTCTACAGCAGTGGTTCCCAAAGGTTATACTGCTACCATCAGAACAGAAGCATCTATGAGCTTGTTAGGACTCTCTGAGCCCCATCTGACCTACTGAATCAGAACCTCTTGGGGTGGTCTCAATTTAAGTGTTTTAGCAAGCTCTCCAGGAAATCCTTCTATGCATTAATGCTTGAGAATCACTGCTCAACACACACAGCTAGCATCAAAACAGGCATGCTTCTTATGCAGTAGAATGAGTATGTTGCTAATGCTTATGTACCTGTGCAGCTAGAAATGTGTGTGAAGATTAGAGGTGGGGAAGATCAGAGATGGCAACATCTATTCAACAAATATTTAAATGCCTGATGTAGTCTTGGACCTAGGCTAAGTGCTGAGATCACAAAAGTGAATAAAGCATAATCCCTACCTTTGCATACCTCAAAGAATGAACTATAGAAATACAGGTTCCCAAATTAAAATACTTCAAACCTACAGAGACTAAAGTAATTTCCAGGATAATAATATTTGAGCCACATCCTGACAAGCATTCTGGTTGTACGATATGATCCAGTGAAAAATGCTTGATTCGGAAGACAGTCCAAGCAAAGGTGATATGTTCAAAGCCATGACAGCATGAGGAAGCATGGCTCATTTGGAAAACAGAATAGTAGCTCAGGATGGCTAAAAACGAAATAGCAAATGGAAGAAGGAGGCAGAAGGTGGAAGTGTGGACTAGGTCCAGAACATTGTGGCATGGTATGTCATTCTATGAAGCCTGGTTCTATGTTGCTATGGGAGTCATTGAGAACTTAGAAATAGGGTGGTGATGTGTTAAGATTCCAGTGCTGGAGCAGAATTTAGGCTGATTTAAAGGGGCAAAACTGGATGCAAAGGTTCTAATGTAAAAAATATTGAAATGGACAAGGGAAAAATGTACCCATGGTCTTAAATATGAGAGTGATTATAAGAATGAAGCAGAAAATATGGCTTCCAGAGATATTTATTCATGTCATGAATAAAATATGTAATATAGAATAAGGTATATTCTTGAGTGAAGATACATTTAGGTTGGAGCATGCCAAGTTTGAAATTTCCTGGGAAATAGTGAATCAAAGAGTTTTTAATTGAGTATAAAATTCTGGGTTAAAAATATTCAATTGAGATCTATTAGCAAATAGATGATAGTTGATCCCATAAAAATAGATGTTAACTCTCAGAGAAATTGACAGCCAGAAATGAAGACTAAGAGAGTCGGTCTGTGGAACAACAACAAAAAAGGAAAAGAGACAGTTAAAGTGAATGATGAATGGTCTTAAGGGTGATGGTGGGGAACCATGTATAAAAAGATTAGGTATGATTTAGGAAATGTAAGAACCAAAAACGGAAATGAAATTGGCAATATAAAGACCATTGCAGCATGAGGAGAAAATCAGTTCAGCAGAGCAGTGGAAGCAGAAAGAATATTTCCACAGGTTGAGAAATGAAAGGAAGTCACTTGGCTGTATAGAAAGGCACATTCTAGAAGGAACATGAACAGTAACCAACATGAGATGTGTTTTGTTTAGATCTCTTGTCAGGGAATAGATTTTCAAAGATAGGATTTTAAACAGGTTTACTCAAGGTCAAATTGAGTCATCAGAAAGGAAAAGGACATAGTTTCTGGAAAGGTTATATAATTAAAGGTTTAAATATCAATGTTACAAGAGTAGGTCCAAAGCAATTTTTCCAGGCACCCATTGATCCTAAACTGCCTTTATTTTATTTACTTTACCATAGAGAAACTTCTTAAATTCAGAATGTCTCCTCTGGCCCTACTGGCTTTTGTGGTCTTAATGCTTACTCTGATTCACCTCAGAGTTTTGACCTCTTTCCCGTAATTTCCTTCCTAGCCTCTCCTCTGTCATGTCATCATGTCCAATTTTGTGAGCTCTTTGACTCAGAAACTCTCTGAAGCTTTAAGTGGCCTCCTCGGCTGAGCACACCTGGGTCAGTAATGAACCATTTGCAAAGGTAAGAATTTGGATGCTGATGCAATGTAAGAATGATATTCAGAACATGGATGAAGGCATTCGCTATTGGCAGTAAAGGAGAGGTGTTTTTATCTTATTTTTTATGTCTGTTAGCTGTAAGACCGGGACATGACAATGAATGTGGGTAAATTGAGAGACAGTAAGTTTTCACTTGATGGTTCAATTTCTGAGATTGAGAAACACTGCTGTTTTGCTTTTAGCAAAAAGTAATTGGATTTGAGGATAGAGAGCTGCTGAAGTAGAGAAATAAAGGAGAGAAATGCCTTTGGTCAAAGATAAAGAGAATGATAGCTGAGTGTCCAGAATGCCCTACTAAAGTTGTGGTGAAATTATCTTCACTTTCACTTGTCATTATTTTTGAAGGGCTCTGTGTGTTGTGGTTGGAGATGCTGAGGAGGAGGCCAATGCAGTTATATTAGCTGCCATAAAACAAGGAACCACAAACTGGATTGCTTGAAGACAGACATGTATTCTCCACAGTTCTGGAGGCCAGAGTCTGATTTCAAATTGCCAGCAGTGCCATGTCTTTGTGAAGGACATGGGAGGAGAACGTGTTCCATGCTTTTTTTTTCTAGCTCCTGGTTTTGCTATCAATTCTTGAGATTACTTGTCTTATAGAAGCGTCACTCTGTTCTCTGCCTCAATCATCACATGGCATTCTTCTTCCTATATGTCTTCATATCATCTTCCCTGTGTGTGTGTTACTTTCTGTTTCTCTACTCTTCTTACAAGGACACCAGTCATGTAGGACTAAGGACTACCTGCTGACTTCATCATAACTTGATATAACTGCAGATACCTTATTTCCAAATAAGGTTTCATTCACAGGTACTAGGGGTTAGGGTTTCAACATATCTTTTAGGGGACACAACTCAACCTATAACAGCTGTTAACTCTTGTGTTAAAACTGTTCAGAGTGAGGCCAGGTGCGGTGGCTCACGCCTGTAATCCCAGCACTTTGGGAGGCCGAGGAGGGCTGATCACCTAAGGTCAGGAGTTCAAGACCACACTGGCCAATATAGTGAAACTCTGTCTCTACTAAAAATACAAAAATTATCCGAGAGTGGTAGTGGGCACCTGTAATCTCAGCTTCTTGGGAGGCTGAGGCAGGAGAATTGCTTGAACCCAGGAGGCGGAGTTTGCAGTGAGCTGAGATCACGCCATTGCACTCCAGCCTTGGTGACAGAGTAAGACTCCATCTCAAAAAAACAAAACAAAACAAAAACAAAAACTGTTCAGAGTGGTGCTAGTGGAATGGATAAGAGACAATAGTACAGGAAAGAAAATGTCATAAGGAAGGTATAAATGTGTTAATAAGGAAGAGATAAGTGCTGAATAAAAAAAGAAAAGAAAAGAAGATTGTGTTGAAAGATGAGAAAAATTGTCCAACATGGAAAAGTAGATGTATAACTAAAACTCAAGATGATTGCACTTTATTTGGGGTATTTAGAATTTAATGTTTCATGAGGAAAATTATTGTATCTTATTCAAGAACAAATAAGTAGAGATTAATGCATGAATTAAAATTACACATGCATCACCAACCAATTTTAGAAAGGAGCTTGAGATATTTATACACATGAATAAAAATGGTAAAACAGTATTACTTTTTGGCATAACCGATGCTTTTGAAAGTTAATTTAGATAATTCACTTCTTTTGATGAGTTTTCTATTATACAAATAGTGTATTATAAAATATGAAGCTCAACATGTAAAAACCACAGGAAACATTAAAACCTGAAACGAGTGTAAACAGGATAGAGGTGTAAATAGGATAGAAGTGTACTGTTGGTTGATTTATAGTATTTGGGGCAGGTTTAATTTCACTGATGTACGTAGGCATTTTTTAATTTTTTCTGTTTACTTTCTCTTAAGTGGAAACTAATAGGACCCCAATAAATATTTTAATGAATATGTACTGCTTGTTAAATAATAGAATGGATGATTTATATACACTGTTGGTCATAGTAAACAGAAGTTGCACTGAGGCCTAATATTTACCACCTTTAATCTTTTCCATATGTGAGTTTTTAGTACGGTTAAGGGAACACTTACGAAAGCATTTCAATGCCCACTTCTTCATCCTCTTAATTACCCAAAGTAGTTACTTTGTTTAATAAGTAAGCAGTGTTACAACCAACAGCCCATAAAAGGTCATTATCAAATATTTTTTCCATTTTCCTTGCACATGATTAAGCCTCAAATGTGAATTAATGGATCCTGTTAGCCCGTAACAGGAAAGCAATAATGTCTATCAACCAAGCACTGTGTGCCACAAATATATGCTGTTTGTTAATGCGATTGGTGGGTTTTCATTTGATTTCCCCTCAAAGGAGAGCTGGTAAGATGGGAGGCTAAGGGAATGTTTCCTCATCTTATAGTTAGATGTAATGGTAAACATTGATTTTGATTTCTTTGTGAGGACATATCGCAGTAATGAGGAAAGCAGATTACAAAATTTATACCATACTATATTGTTTCATTTAAAGTGATAACAATATTCAAACTGTTTGTCTTGACTTAATCTTTTTGTCCCATTTGTATTTCCCAAGGTTCCTAATCTTACCTTGTCTTAAGGTTTTCTACAGTACATACTTTCTGTAAGCTGTACCACATCCTTCTGTGTAGCATGGTTTACAAAATTAAAAAATAAGTAATTTGAAGTGTTTTTGCTTGTGTGTTTACTTCAGCTACATTAACTATTTTCCTACATATATATATACACACATACATATACTTACATATATATTTTCATTGTTCAAAAATTCTGATAGTAAATATTGACTCAGTATAGTCACTTAAAGGCTTTGATTTCAGGTTAGATGTGGTACATGATTAATGTGTGAGCTATTCAGAGTGAACTTTGAAATCTGTGTGGGTAATTTTACTTAATAAAAAATTAATCAGACAAGTATAATTTAGAAAATAAAAGTATAATAATTTAAATGTCACAATTAAAGTTTCCACAGGGCTAGTTTTCTCCACTGTTTTAAGATAAAAAATGGCACAGATATACACTGAAATGTACTTTGAACATTGTATGTAATTATCTTAGAACATCAGGAATAGCATCAATAAAAACCAAGAAGTTTTGTGATTTTATATTGTTTTGCATCTAATTGTATATAACAGTCTAATACCATAGACCTTCACATCTCTGGGAGCCAGCTATAATACTGCCTTAGATAATCATGGCAGGAATCAACCGGACAAATTTTGATAGGAAGAAAGGCAGTAGACCCTTAGCAGACAATGAGACAATGGAGATTGAAAAGAAAATGATTATCAAACACTTTTCCAGATGGTTATCAATTGCACAGGAATTCTAAGAGGCCAGGCACAGTGGCTCACGCCTGTAGTCCCAGCGCTTTGGGAGGCCGAGGAGGGTGGATCACGAGGTCAAGAGATCAAGACCGTCCTGGCCAATATGGTGAAACCCCGTCTCTACTAAAAATACAAAAATTAGTTGGGCATGGTGGCGTGCACCTGTAGTCCCGGCTACTCGGGAGGCTAAGGCAGGAGAATCACTTGAACCCAGGAGGTGGACGTTGCAGTGAGCCAAGGTTGTGCCACTGCACTCTAGCCTCGGCGACAGGTCGAGACTCTGTCTCAAAAAAAAAAAAATTCTAAGAAAGCATAAGATTTGATTGTATATATGTTTATTTTCAAAGCGAATTATTTTCTTTACATATATACTCAAGCTTGATAAGAAAGATCAATCTGCAGACATTTTATTTTATTTTCTTTCTTTTTTTTCTTTTTTTTTTTTTTTTGAGACGGAGTCTCACTCTTGTCATCCAGGCTGGAGTGCAGTGGCGCAATCTCGGCTCACTGCAACCTCTGTCTCCCGGGTTCAAACGATTCTCCTGCCTCAGCCTCCCGAGTAACTGGGATTCCAGGCACATGCCACCATGCCTGGCTAATTATTTTTTGTATTTTTAGTAGAGACGGGGTTTCGCCACGTTGGCCAGCCTGGTCTTGAACAGCTGACCTCGTGATTCGCCCGCCTCAGCCTCCCAAAGTGCTGGGATTGCAGGTGTCAGCCATCGCGCCTGGCCGACAAATTTTCATAATGGATTATTATAATGCCACAAATTCACATACTTCCACTAAGGTTTTTTTTTGTTTGTTTGTTTTTGTTTTTTGTTTTTTTTTTGAGAGGGAGTCTCACTCTGTTGCCCAGGCTGGAGTGCAGTGGCGCCATCTCGACTCACTGCAAGCTCCACCTCCGGGGTTCAGGCCATTCTCCTGCCCTCCTGCCTCAGCCTCCTGAGTAGCTGGGACTACAGGCGCCCGCCACCACGCCTGGATAATTTTTTGTATTTTTAGTAGAGACGGGGTTTCACCGTGTTAGCCAGGGTGGTCTCGATCTCCTGACCTCGTGATCTGCCCGCTTCAGCCTCCCAAAGTGCTGGGATTACAGGCGTGAGCCACCGCCCCCGGCCCACTAAGTTTTTATAGTATTATATGTTACTAAAACACCTCAAAAAAGCAATCAATTTCTTTTACCTTAAATGTACAGTTATAATCTAGTAAACTATGCTATAAGTAAACTACAGTTTATAATATATGTAATATATCATTTTTACTTAATTATATTGTAAAATATTAAATGTAATTAAAATTTTATACACATTTTAAATATTTTGAACCTGATATATAATTCTAGAAACCATTGTGAGTCTTTCCTGGTTTGAAAAAATAATATTACTATGATATTTCGATATTCACTATTTTGCTTAAAGTGAAATAAATGAATAAAGAAATTCTTCAGATTATTAGTGTAAGCATATAAGTCTATGTTACTCAATACAGATTCTGTTACATAAATAAGTACTTAATTATTATTAACTGTAAATTTATTTTATATTTATTCTGAGATAGATATACTTCCATTTATATCTACTTTATTATGTTTTATCTATCTCCGATCTAACTAGAAATAATTTAATGTGTTCTTTTCCAGAAAATACTTAACATATATTTAAATACATAATATAAAACAGGCCAAGGTAAAAATGGAATTATAATATTTTACTAAATTAAAAATGTTAGTATATAAAAATCATGAAAATGATCCTATAGGTTTTTCCCCTTTCTTTCTACTTTTCATGCATGATTTTAAGCATTCTTCTGAATTGCTGCATATAGTCATAGCAGCCTCCCTCTGAACGAACTAGCCTTCCTCACTTAAGAAAAGGAAATTGACACATTGAGGCCAAGTCACTATCTAATGTCTTGCTGCAAGCAAGTGGGAAAAGTTGCTTTTGAATTCAGCAAGTCTGACACCAAAGCATAAACTCAACCAATACATATTATTTCAACCATTTTCTTACAGAAGGATCATGGCTTTGGCTTTAATTTTCATTGTAGCCTATGCAACGAAAGAAACAAAATCAATTTAATGAGTCACAATGTCCAAAATATGAAAAAAGGCAAGTTGTGGAGCAGAATCACCAAGGCCATAAAAAGCTTTATCTCTTGAGTCCCCATAAACTGGATGCTGCTAAATATACAATTTGTCGACAGTACTTTTATGGTGAAATAACTAGTGCCAAATGTCACTTTTTCTTATAACATCTTTCACTATAAGCAACGGCAAAGCACATTTCTAAGAAAAAAAATTGTTAGGGCTTTAAGTTAGGGGGATAGTGTGATCCAAATGAACCCCACTCTGATGCTCTTGCTGAGGTTGTACTTCATATTACAGAATGAAGTATAAAATAAGAGAGTTCTCTTCTGCCTGTCCTCCAGAAGTAGTTTCCTCTCAGTCAAATATTTGAAAATAACTGTGTGGTAATAGGTTGAACATTATGCTACTTGACAATACCTGTAATACTTTTATTCTGATAAGTAACCGGAAGGCATCTGTCTTGCCGACTTATTATACCCCCCATTATTCTATTTTCACTTGAACTAACTAGCCGTAAGACTTTTTTCCACCTTAGAAAAATAGAAAAAAGGGAACTTGCCTGTCTAAAAAACCAACTTACCTCTCCATTGAAGTGTTTGCGTGGGCAGAACCAAGACCTTTCTTTAACTTTTTGCATAGGGAAAAAAAAGCAAACTATCTATCTCTTTTGTAAAATTTCCCAGTAAATTGCATATAAAAAGCAAAAATTATAGAAAATTAAAACTCAAAAAATTATAATTTTGTTTTTATCATGCCCTGATCAATAAGTAAATGAATTATATTAACTTAGGTAACTTACGGTGCAACAGAGAGTGATGGAAGAAACCCCAACTTAATTTTTAGTGACTGCTACTAAAATCGAGACCGGTAAAGGAATTTCAAAAATTTAAGTTTTACAAGAGTTGATTGATAATCCTTCCTTTGGGGAAGTTGTCTATTCACTGAGCAAGTTATCTTATTCCTCATAATTAACTCATTGAGAATAATATAAAGATATTGCATCTCAAATTTAAAAGACAAAATGGAGACTACATAGATACGACTTTGGCTCTCAAAATAGGGTTAATATCCTTGGAATTCAAAAATGTGAATAACCAGGTTTAATTCACTCAATATGTATTTATTGAGTTTATATTACACTATACCAGGTACTGTTCCAAAGATAAAGCAGTAATTAAAACAGAGAAACATATGTCCTAAACTCTGGCAAGAAACAAAAAAATAAAATCTAATAACCATTAAATTATGAGGTAAGATACATTGATACATACATGAAGGGAATTGAAAATGTCTGAGAAGGTGAAACGTTAGTTATGCTGGAGACTGAAGAACTGAAGAAAAAAAACATTTGGATAAGAAGAAAGCATTTTTAGAAAGAGAACAATGCGCACAAAGACACCTAGACAGAGACATCTTAATGTTTCACAAGAATGAGGAGTAGAGTAAGATGGGGAGATATAGGAGATAAAATAAAAAACATAGGCATGACGGTTGGAAAAACGCAATGTAAAGAATTATGAATCATAGAACAGATTTTAAGTTTTTCTCTGAGATGGGAAACCTCAACTAATTTTGAAGAGGGTGTAACTTGGTCTGAGGCTAGTTTAAATGAGTCACAATAACCTCTCTGTTGATAAGATTTGAGGGGAACATGGAGGTCTATTAGGAGGTGAGCACAGATGAAAGTGAGACATAAAGTGGCTTAACTGGTTGGAAAGCTGAGCATAAAAACATGGTTGAATTCTGCACAAAATGGATGTGGTTTGTCATCAAAATAGAAATGTCAGTAATTATTGCAAGCCATTTTGATCCAAGTAACTAGAAGAGAGGAGTAGATTTCCTAAACTTAAAAGCCCCAAATCATCAACATTAGCTACACACACACACACACACACACACACACACACACACACACACACACAAAATGAGTCATTCCAGCAGGTTTCTTCACAAGAAGGCATAGAACAGATGTCTGTAATTCCAGCACTTTGGGAGCCCGATGCAGGCAGATCACAAGGTCAGAAGTTCGAGACCGGCCTGGCCAATATGGTGAAACCCCGTCTCTACTAAAAATACAAAAATTAGCCGGGCGTGGTGGTGCATGCCTGTAGTCCCAGCTACTCTGGAGGCTGAGGCAGAAGAATTGCTGAACCCGGGAGTCAGAGGTTGCAGTGAGCCAAGATCGCACCACTGTACTCCAGCCTGGGTGACAGAGCAAGGCTCTGTCTCAAAAAAAAAAAAAAAAAAGAATATTCAGAAGTGGAATACTTGTGCTTATGGCTCAATATTTCTCATTATAAAATAATAACCCAAGAACCTTAGTTTTGCAAATAGTCAAGAAGGAAGCTGGGACATATTTTAGATCAAATATATTGCAGGTTAAGGTATCTTTATGTAGGGAAAGTAAATAGAAATGTGTTGTTCTATAAATAGGATTTAGCAAGACAGGACCATTCCACATGAATTGATAAAATCAAATAACTGTCGAGGATTGCAGTTCATTTTTCAAAATGGTGAAGAAATATTTTTTTAAAATATATTTGCAGTGTGACACTTAAAAAAAAATCAAGTCTGCGACACAATGCTGAAAAATATCCTGTAATCTTTCCTCTTAGTGGAGCAAAATCTTAGTTTAAAGAGGAAGGAAGTTTGAGAGCTCCTTAGTGGTCAGTAGAGATCTGATTCTCCCCAATTTTGCTCAAACTGAATATATAACAGGACAACGCAACAGGATCTGAGCCAAACATTTCCACATAGATTAAGTTGTGTGTGTGCGTGTGTGTGTGTGTGTGTGTGTGTGTGTGTATTTTCCTGTGGAAAATAATGCATTTGAACATTAGTCATTCTCTCGTTTTTCCTGCTGTCTGTCTCCACATTAACAAGACCAGGATGTACTTTTTTTTCTAGCCAGGATCTCATGTCCCACTAGGTTTGGGGAAGACAATTTTAACATACTTTTTAGGGCACGTTGTGGTTAGAATTGCTTTCAAGATACTACTGTTCATAAAAGGTGAGAGAAAGAACATTTTCATGTAGCCCCCGGGTGTTGAGATTCCCCATATCCTTAAGAATAAATCGGTCAATCATCAAGAGAATATGAAATCTCCTCAGGCTGTCTTCATTTTCACAACAGGCTCACCTCCCTGATCTAATAAATAGAACATTGACTCTATGGGAGGGCTATGCTTTTGAACTGCTCCTTGCTAAATTGATATTACTTCCTAACACCCAATAGTCCTAGGTATATGTCATGTGCAAACTTTCTATAAGAATCATTTTCACTAAAATAGTTTGAACAAGTCAACTTATTTTAAAACATAGCATTTTCCCTATCTCACCTGTATAGCCACAGAAAGAATTAACTGTCCTGTGGAATATGTAAAAAATAAAAGATAAAGTCTCCAAGATTAACCTGAGCACATATCATTCACTTTAAAAAAAATTGGAGGGGATGAACTAGAAGAATTTCTTTGGAGCCTGAACAAAAGAGGGGTGAACGGGTTATTAAAGATAGGCTGATGTTATTCTAATATCTTTATGGGAGACTTTCTATTCTATTGTGTCTTTTTTTCAATGAGCATCTTTTGGGAAGCATACACTTGCTTCCTTACAAGGTCAGAGCAGAGTAATTGTATAGACAGTGTTTTTTTGTTTTTTTGTTTGTTTGTTTGTTTGTTTTACTTTTCATTTATTCACATTTCACAGATTGTTACACTTCCTTGATGGGAGCATTCAAAAACTAATACAAGCTGAGATTATATTGTCTGACAATTCAAGTATTTTAGTTTTAGAAAACAATTTCCTATTTAAAGTAAAAAGCAAACCATTTATCCATCTGATTGCTAAGAAGTTTTACATCTCCATTACAATTGTGTCTGCATCAAAGGGAGAGTCCTTCATCCTCAGTATGATTGTTACTGGTTGAGAACATACAGTGGCCTGCGTTCTGAGTGCCTGATTGGAAAAGACCTCCCCATCATCTACCATACTACGGGACAAATCAGTATCTACTCAAATTCCCACTTCCAGAATGAGAGGACTCATCAGGGGTTTAGGAGTTTGCAAAGCCTTCAAAATGTATTGTGCTTGAATTTTGACTCTTCTGAAATAGAACAACTGACAAATGCTCAAAAAACAAACTTGTTTAACTTTTACTGAAAAGGCTCTCAGTGAAAACTTGTTTTGAACTCTACTAGTAATGTAGAATATTAGTTTTTCTTCCCCTCCACACCAGAAAAGGTAGTTTGCTCTTTCTTTTTTCTTTTTTTTTTTTTTTTTTGGCATGCAGCACATATAAAATGTGATCTAGAATTGAAATTGTAAAATAGAATAATCCTTTTAAAGAAAATCAGCCCATGAACAGTCAGACTTGTCCTTCCATGGAAAACATAATCTCAACTACTTTAAAAACTGGCCATATCTTCAGTCTGTAATTTGAATAATGAAGATGGCATAACAAATTTTTTTGCTTACTAGGAATCCACAAAAGGATGAGATGGATACACAGGTTTTAAGAAAAAAAAGGCCACTGGGATACTTAGTATTTGTCCAGATGCAAAACAATTTCAGAATAACAAAATATACACCTTGCTTTAGGCCAAGTATATGATACACTTCATAGATTCTCAAACAAAAGATGAAAATTTCAGTCCACATTAAACATTTTAAAACATAATTCCAGCTGGTACCAGGGAAGCACGTGTGGCTAAGTTGCGACAAACTTAAATTTGTTCCCCTTAGTTCTTCATCTTTTTAAAAGTTGAATAAACTTAACGTCAATCGGGCAGGGCCGGTATTAACAGCATCAGCCACTTGCTTACTATGAATCATCTGCAACAAAACCCCACGTGCATTCTCAATTCTAAAAAGTCAGTGTAAAAATCATGGCCACTTCCTCCCTAGGTGCCTACTATCGCTATGTCTGACAGCATCCTGTAACAGTACAAGCTCACCTCTCTCTGCGCGGATTCATCCAAAGCCACACACTAGGCCAAATTCTCCCAGTGGAATCAAAACACTGAAAGTCGAGCAAGAACCTCATGACAACATTGGCCCAATCACACCTCAGGTACTTAGGAGTTCATCATATTTGATCATAAAATTGCTCCCGGCCCCAAACCTTACACCTAAAGACTGTAGTTTTTAAAAAGCCACTGTACCGTCCGCAATTATTCAGACTACTCTTTTCTAAATGAGAATGCGCTACGCACTGAAGATCAGAACACACACACGTGAGCCCTTGGGCACTGACCCTGAGCCTGTACACAAGATCAGCTGCTACTAGTCTCAAATGATTCATGAGGAATCAAAGTGGAAATTTAAACATTCAATTCTGTATCTCATTCATGTGCCCAGAGACTTCAAAGAATGCTCGTGTTAGTTACCTGACAGCTCTGGAGAAGTGACATGGATATTCGTGTGCATAACCCTGGCTCCCTTCCAAACAGACATATGGAATCTTACTCTTAAAAAAGTAAAAATATTTCAGATATCAAGTGTATATTATACTGCTGTCTAAAGTTAAAGGCAAAATTTACACACGATTTTCTCTTTCATTACCTTATTACATGTTTCCTAGTGAATTCACACGGCTCGTGTGTCAAAGCTCCCAGGCACGTCAATTGGTCATAGTTTTCATATGCGTGGGGTTGATCAGGGTACAAATGTCTATGAGCATCTTCTTTTTCTAGGATGGTCTCATTTGACTTTCATTTCGTAAGGGTTCACTCTCCATGGTGTATATGATAAGCTACCAAATTTGTGCTTTTAAACCCATTCCTGGCAATCCCCCTATATCTTCATTTTGTCTTTGGGGGATAAAGAAGTAACACTACCTCATGAATAGACACTACAAAGCCAAAAAACTCCTTCACAAGCTGTTCGTTTCTTTTTAGAATGAAAATGCATGTCCTGAATTCTCGTGAAGCAGCCCACAGGGTTACAGGCCAATGATTCGAACGCTGAGGTGAACACTTAGTACTCACATTTTAGCTTCAAAATAAAAATAAAGCAGAGGACAAATGCCTGTCACAGCGTCGCAGCCCGGTTCATTTGGTAACAACAAGTCTCACACGTCGGCTGAGCCCACCGGAGAGAAGCATACAGGCCAGCTTCCTTCTGAACACAGCCAGGCACCTGTTCAAAAGCCTCTCTGGTGATGGCGGTGGACCCCAAAACCCACGGGTTGTAAGAGCCTTTGGGAAAGCGAATTGATACCATGATTGCAGTGCTTGAAGAAATCACTTAGGGTTAGTTTAATAAACAAACGAACATTAAAAAATCTTCCAAAAATTGCATTCAAATGTATTTTACACTTTAGGCAGTTCTTAAGAAGGGAGAGTGCGGTTTCTTGACACTTAACATTTAAAGGTTTTATTGGCCACATTAATCTTCCTCTCAAAAGTTTTAAGTTATCTGTAAGTTCTTAGAATGTCAAAGAAGAGAAGAAAAACTAAGTCGAAGGGATGGTGGAAGAAGCAGCAACTTGGCAATAATTCCGCAGCCGACTTCGCGTGTTCAGGCATCCTTTTTCTCCAGTAAAATTTTGTGCAACTCGTCTGCATCCTCGCTGGTGTTTACCCGAATCAACATGGTGACTGGCATGGTGGCATTCTTCTCGTCAATTGGTGGATTTGGAACACAGACAATAAAAACGTTATTTTTCCCTGTTGGCGTACGTGGCATATTGGGTGGAATCAGAGCATTCAGCAATATGTTGCCTAAATTGGTGTCTGCCCGCACCAAAAGCTGTGTCTTCTGATTTGCTGTAGGTTTTAAATGCAGAGTACCTATGACTTTCTCTTTAAATTCATTATCTTTCTTGTAAAATAGTTTACACTTTTTGGAGTAAAAAGCATCTTCTTCTTTTACTTCAGTAACTACTACTTTGGGTAGCTCATGATTCTCTTCTTCATCTCCACCTTTGCATTCACCACTGTCACCTTCCGCTTGGCCCTCCAATGGTTTAGTGCGAAATGGTGAAGAGACTGGTTTACTCTGGTAATATCTTTGCCAAATAAACTGGAGTTTCCAGGGGAGAATGAAAATCCAGTCAGGGGGACAGAGCTTAATGAGCCCAAAACAGAGCTATCAACTTTCTTGCCGAAATTAAATGAGGCACTTGTCGCTCCTAGTGATGATGGGTCCGTTTTCTTTTCAGATGTCAGCTCCACCTTCTTGTCAGGTGTATCTTCAGTTTTGTTGCCATGAAACAAAAACGCTGACTCTTGCTGTAATTTTGTTGAGCCAACAAGGGAAGGAGACCGTGTTTCAGCCGCAGCTTTGTTAGATTCACTTTCAGAATTCCTGCCACTGTTGCCGTGTTGCTGTTCAATGTTTGCTAAATATTTCTCATAGTCTTTAAAGATAGGTGTCAGATCACAGAGGGGGTTTGTATTCACGTGCTTCACTATCCAATCCCGCACGGAGCAGTTCAAGGCGGCCAACTGCTTGTGATAGGCATTTCTGACACAAGCTTTACTGGAAGCAAGGCCAGAGGAGGAGGGCTGCTGACTGTCCCCATTAGTTTTGGGATTTGAAACTTTTTTATCAACCAAGGCGGTAGGGCCATTTGCAGCAAGAGAACCAAAGGCTACCTTGGGCTCTGCCACTGCCTTTGCACTGGTGAAGGGAGGGGCGCTGGTTATGTTGTTTCCATTCGACAGTCCTTCCAAAGGCTTCCCTCCAGCACCACTACCAAATCCAGGAAACCGTCCTCCTCCAGAAGGTACCACTAAACCTTTAAAACTTTTAAAGCCTCCTCTACTGTCAGATTCGAATCCAACATTTCTGCGCTTTGCTTTCTTTATGGCTCTATTCTTCAAGACTTCCTCACTGGCCACAGAGAATGTTCCCACCTCTTCAGCTTCATCTTCTTGATCCCAATTCCTATCTGTCAGTTCCTTCTCGGCTTTTGGCCATGTTTTCGAACCTCCTCAGCGGCCGCCGCTGCACTCGCTGGGTCTTGGGTGCCGCGAAACCCGGGGCGCAGCGGCGCAGGGGTCTCGAGCGGCTGGTGGTCGCGGGGCTGAGGGCGCTCGGCCGCTTCCGGTCCTGCGCTGCGGGCCTCAGAGGACTTGGTGCTCGGCAAACCCAGAGACTCAAACGCCATGTCCGGGGGGTGGGGGGAGCGGCGGTAGGGGAGATCCTCACGCTGTGTTCGGCAGCGAGGCGGCGAGACGCGCCGGTTCAGCCGGAGACCGCTGTGGGAACCGCGCCGAACACGCTTTGGGCGGCCATTTTGTAACTCGAATCTACCCCCAAAACCAATTCGAAAAAAAGGGAGGAAAGAAACGCCCCGACAGTGTTCTGAACTGGGTTGAACACACAAAGGATGCTACAATTTTCCACTTGTATACAGGTACCTATATTAAAACTTCAACTTATTTCAATCCATCATATTTACATTTCTATTTTATTATATGCTGGATAATGTGTTTAATATATTACTGTAGCTGCATATATATACAATTTATCATAACAATATAGACATGTTTTGAGGAACGTGTTAAATCGTTTGCTGAGTAAAAGAGACAGTGCGATCAGAACTTTTGAAGACTTCTACACACAGCCTTGCTTCCTCAAATTCTATCCAGACAAATGCTAATTCTGGTTTTAGTTTTATCAGGCCATGAGGATCAAAACATAAAGGAAAATACATAGAAAATGCTTCAATATAAATTACTCTGTTTCATTCTGTGTTATGACTTTACAGCATTTTGATGTTATGTTCATCTTCTATGAGATCACAGTCCTATTCAATAGCAGGTTTTTTTCATATTTCCAATATACTCTACAGAAAAATAATTGTTGGTAACATTAATGTTGTTAATATTATTGCTAAGAATATTCTTTAGAAATTGCTTAGCCCAGAAAATCCCGAACTCAAAGTAGCCTTTTCCATAGAGTCATTTTTTTGCTTTTGTCTCCGTAATCTACCATCCTTCCCTATACTCTTGGCTTTTAATACTCTGCCGATAGGATTTGCCTCAACAAATGGCTGCATATGTTAATCACACTCTTTAACTCACTAATAAACTACTTTGATACTTGAATAAATTGAAATTTAAATAAGCATTTTATTAAATCAAATGTAATGTTTGTATTGAGACAATTCTAACTGGGGACATAGTTAAACCGTTAGTCCCTGAAGACTTTCCAGAGTCCTGCTAAGGGGAAATCACAAAGGTATGTTTTTAACAGTGAGGGTTAAAATCTCTGTTTAATGCGTCTATTTTTCCCTATATGGAAAACACAAAGATCAGTGATTGATATATTACTTTCCATATTTATTATGGAATAATTTATTGATTTAATTTGTTTAATAATTTATGATTTAATACATGTGATAATTTATTATGGTATAATCAAATTTGTTGAATAACTTGAAATAATTCTCAATGAATTTATGCCATAGTTATAGGAAAAAATAACATTTAAATCATTCAAATAGAAATTCTACTCAATATATATTTACCAACTGTGATATCTTATGAGGAAAATACAGGACATATTAAGAAGATGTGACAGTCTCGGAAATGAGGGATAGCCTCCTGAAATATTATTGGCTTAGATGGGATAAATTATATAATATAATGAGATCTAAGGCAGTATGTGCATGGCAACTTAGAGAGAGAGAAAGCCAGTGTGGTTGCAGAGCAAATTCAGGAAGTACAGAATGAGATGAGATCTTTTATTCTAAGAGCAATGGATATTCATTGAGGAAATTTTGGCAGGGGATGACACCAATAGATTTTTTTTTTTTAAATAACATTTTGGGCTTTAGCATTGAGAATGGATCTTAGAGGGCAGAGTAGATGTGGGGAGACATGTTAGTAGCCTATGGAGTAGTTAGGGGAAGACAATAGATTTACCTTAGATATTTTGTCAACAAGAGACATATAACATTTAATATGCTTTTTGCAGATTTTTCTGTCACATCAAAGAAAACTAAACTCTAAACAATATGAATTAAAGTTAGAACAGCACTAGAGAAGACATGAATTCACACATGTTAAAAAGAAGAAGCAGTGCCTTAGGAGATTAAAGTGGACTGCTTCCATTGTGTTTCACTGGCATGCATTGCCTACCATCTGGAGGGTAAAAATTACTTGGAAAATAGAACCTGAAATGGAATTAAACAATATTTCATTTCCCTTGATATTTATTTTCAGATTAAGCATCAATATCCCAAGTCATAGCCAAGATATAAAATACAGTGTGATTATTGTGTGATTATTATTAAAAACTCTTCCTAATATGTCTCTAAAACTTACAAAATATTTCTGTTTATG